>NC_000014.9:71126864-71278379 GCF_000001405.40 Homo sapiens
AGTGGAAAGTAAGTCCGTCCCCTTCTTAATCAATACGGAGGCTACCCACTCCACATTACCTTCTTTTCAAAGGCCTGTTTCCCTTGCCTCCATAACTGTTGTGCTATTGACGGCCAGGCTTCTAAACCTCTTAAAACTCCCCAACTCTGGCGCCAACTTAGACAATACTCCTTTAAGCACTCCTTTTTAGTTATCCCCACCTGCCCAGTTCCCTTACTAGGCCGAGACACTTTAACTAAATTATCTGCTTCCCTGACTATTCCTGGGCTACAGCCACACCTCATTGCCACCTTTTCCCCCAGTTCAAAGCCTCCTTCACATCCTCCCCTTGTATCTCCCCACCTTAACCCACAAGTATAAGATACCTCTACTCCCTCCTTAGTGACCGATCATGCATCCCTTACCATCTCATTAAAACCTAATCACCCTTACCCCGCTCAATGCCAATATCCCATCCCACAGCACGCTTTGAAAGGATTAAAGCCTGTTATCACTCGCCTGCTACAGCATGGCCTTTTAAAGCCTATGAACTCTTCTTACCATTCCCCCATTTTACCTGTCCTAAAACCAGACAAGCCTTACAAGTTAGTTCAGAATCTGCACCTTATCAACCAAATTGTTCTGCCTATCCACCCGTGGTGCCAAACCCATACTCAATACCTCCCTCTACTACCCATTATTCTGTTCTAGATCTCAAACATGCTTTCTTTACTATTCCTTTGCACCCTTCATCCCAGCCTCTCTTTGCTTTCACTTAGACTGACCCTGACACCCATTAGGCTCAGCAAATTACCTCGGCTGTACTGCCGCAAGGCTTCACAGACAGCCCCCATTACTTCAGTCAAGCCCAAATTTCATCCTCATCTGTTACCTATCTCAGCATAATTCTCATAAAAACACACGTGCTCTCCCTGCTGATAGCGTCCAATTAATCTCCCAAACCTCAATCCCTTACAAAATAACAACTCCTTTCCTTCCTAGGCATGGTTAGTGCGGTCAGAATTCTTACACAAAAGCCAGGACCACACCCTGTAGCCTTTCTGTCCAAACAACTTGACCTTACTGTTTTAGCCTAGCCCTCATGTCTGCGTGCAGCGGCTGCCGCTGCTTTAATACTTTTAGAGGCCCTAAAAATCACAAACTATGCTCAACTCACTCTCTACATTTCTCATAACTTCCAAAATCTATTTTCTTCCTCATACCTGACGCATATACTTTCTGCTCCCCGGCTCCTTCAGCTGTACTCACTCTTTGTTAAGTCCCACAATTACCATTGTTTCTGGCCCAGACTTCAATCCGGCCTCCCACATTATTCCTGATACCACACCATGACTGTATCTCTCTGATCCACCTGACATTCACCCCATTTCCCCATATTTCCTTCTTTCCTGTTCCTCACTCTGATCATGCTTGATTTATTGATGGCAGTTCCACCAGCCCTCATCACCACACACCAGCAAAGGCAGGCTATGCTATAGTACAAGCCACTAGCCCGCCTCTTAGAACCTCTCATTTTCTTTCCATCATGGAAATCTATCCTCAAGGAAATAACTTCTCAGTGTTCCATCTGCTATTCTACTACTCCTCAGGGATTATTCAGGCCCCCTCCCTTCCCTACACGTCAAGCTCAAGGATTTGCCCCCACCCAGGACTGGCAAATTAGCTTTACTCAACATGCCCTGAGTCAGATAACTAAAATACCTCTTAGTCTAGGTAGGCACTTTCACTGGATAGGTACAGGCCTTTCCTACAAGGTCTGAGAAGGCCACCGCAGTCATTTCTTCCCTTCTGTCAGACATAATTCCTCAGTTTAGCCTTCCCACCTCTATACAGTCTGATAACAGCCCAGCCTTTACTAGTCAAATCAGCCAAGCAGCTTTTCAGGCTCTTAGTATTCAGTGAAACCTTTATATCCCTTACAGTCCTCTGTCTTCAGGAAAAGTAGAACGGACTAAAAGTCTTTTAAAAACACACCTCACCAAGCTCAGCCACCAACTTAAAAAGGACTGGACAATACTTTTACCACTTTCCCTTCTCAAAAGTCAGACCTGTCCTCAGAATGCTACAAAGTACAGCCCATTTGAGCTTCTGTATAGACGCTCCTTTTTATTAGGCCCCAGACTCATTTGACGCCAGACCAACTTAAACTGTGCCCCAAAGAAACTTGTCATCCCTACTACCTTCTTTCTAGTCATACTCCTATTCACCGTTCTCAACTACTCATACATGCCCTGCTCTTGTTTACACTGCCGGTTTACATGGTTTCTCTAAGCCATCACAGCTGGTATCTCCTAGTGCTATCCCCAAACTGCCACTCTTAAGTCTTGAAGTAAATAAATAATCTTTGCTGGCACGACTATGCTGAATCTCCTTAGGCGCTCTCTAATCAGATGTCCTAGGTCCTCCCAATTCTTAGACCTTTAATACCTGTTTTTCTCCTTCTCTTATTCCGTTTAGTTTTTCAATTCATACAAAACTGTATCCAGGCCATCACCAATAATTCTAAATGACAAATGTTTCTTCTAACAGTCCCACAATATCACCCCTTACCACAAAATCTTCCTTCAGCTTAATCTCTCCCACTCTAAGTTCCCACGCCGCCCCTAATCCCGCTCGAAGCAGCCCTGAGAAACATCGCCCATTCTCTCTCCATACCATCCCCCAAAATGTTCACTGTCCCAACACTTTACCACTATTTTGTTTTATTTTTCTTATTAATATGAGA
Organism: Homo sapiens; assembly: GCF_000001405.40. Lineage (NCBI taxonomy): Eukaryota > Metazoa > Chordata > Mammalia > Primates > Hominidae > Homo > Homo sapiens. Next base: position 71,129,590 of record NC_000014.9, read on the forward strand.
AGACAGGAATCTCAGGCCTCTGAGCCCAAGCTAAGCCATCATATCCCCTGTGACCTGCATGTACACATCCAGATGGCCAGTTCCTGCCTTAACTGATGACATTCCACCACAAAAGAAGTGAAAATGGCCTGTTCCTGCCTTAACTGATGACATTGTCTTGTGAAATTCCTTCTCCTGGCTCATCCTGGCCCAAAAGCTCCCCTACTGAGCACCTTGTGACCCCCACTCTGCCCGCCAGAGGACAACCCCCTTTGACTGTAATTTTCCTTTATCTACCCAAATCCTATAAAACGGCCCCACCCTTATCTCCTTTCGCTGACTCTCTTTTTGGACTCAGCCTGCCTGCACCCAGGTGATTAAAAGCTTTATTGCTCACACAAAGCCTGTTTAGTGGTCTCTTCACATGGACGCGCATGAAACCAAGAAGATGATGAACTAGTTTTCTGAAGTACCAACTTAAATTTTAAATTTTACCATAGGGCTTTGAAAGGGAAACCTGGTATGGGAGACAGGCAGGAGGAGCGCAGGGCGTAGAATCTGTGTGTCTTGTTCGAAGGGCCTTCTTAGATCACTTTTCTCAATATCTAGTTGGCATTGTCGTAACCCACCTGCCCTCCACCTGTTGGTGACTCCCCTTAAGCAGGAGAATTCCACAATGGAAGCTCCATGCCTGGTTTGTTTCAAGATTAGCCTCCAGGATTTCTTAAGCAAAAGCATAATTAGATAAGCATGCATTGTCAGAGGGGAGTGCCTACAGAGGGAAGGAATGAAGAGGTGAGAGGGGAGGGAAGGAAGAAGAAAATGGGCACTTTCTAAAGCTGAGGTTCCTGGTTACAAACTCCCCCACTGTCAAATTGTATTCCATCTCTATGGAATAGGGATGGTGTATTCATTCTTGCTAGTTCCTGCTGAAAAACAGCATAGTTAGGGAGCCATGGAATGGAACCTGTCTTCCTGGAGTTCAAAGTATTCATGAGTCCCTGGGCTTACAGAAGAGATCTGCTGGAGCATCATAGTGGGTGTGTAACAGCAATACAGCCCACAGCAGAAGAATAAACTTATCTCTATAATCACGGCTAAAGTTGTCAGAGGTATTTGAACCAGAGCAACTCGATCTTGAATAGGGGCTGTGTAAAATAAGGCTGAGACCTACTGGGCTCCATTCCCAGGAAGTTAGGCATTCTTAGTCACAGGATGAGATAGGAGGTCAGCACAAGACACAGGTCATAAAGACCTTGCCGATAAAACAGGATGTGGTAAAGAAGCCAGCTAAAACCCACGGCACCCACCAAGACGGCAGTGAAAGTGACCTCTAGTAGTCCTCGCTGCTCATTATACGTTAATTATAATGCATTAGCATGCTAAAAGACGCTCCCACCAGCCATGACAGTTTACAAATGCCATGGCAACGTCTGGAAGTTACCCTATATAGTGTAAAAAGGGGAGGGATCCTCAGTTCCAGAAAGTCTCCGCCCCTTTCCCGGAAAACTTATGAATAATCCACCCTTTGTTTAGCATATAATCAAGAAATAACTGTAAGTATACTCAGTTGAGCAGCCCATGCTGCTGCTCTGCCTATGAAGTAGCCATTCTTTTATTCCTTTACTTTCTTCATAAACTTGCTTTCACTTTATGGACTCGCCCTGAATTCTTTCTTGTGCAAGGTCCAAGAACCCTCTCTTGGGGTCTGGATCAAGACCCCTTTCCGGTAACAAAATTATGAGCAACCTTTTTTCTTCTTCACCAGGAGGGGCCTGTTCTAGATCATGAAGAGGGCCATTGATTTAAGGACATTGTGGGATCAGACGTAGCATTAATTTGCTTGTGCATGTCTTGCAGCGTTGAGGATGTATTTCCAGAGTTATCTGGAATGTACACACAGCATTCAGTCTTAATTATAGTGCACATTCCCCGCTGTCAATTGTACCCAGAGCTTCTGTGGGGATGACAGGTTAGCTAAACATATATATGTGACAGGTTATAGGAGGAGCTACTAATATAAATCAAGGCGAATTCATGACGTGTATCAAACAAATATGCATGTAACATGAACATGACCCATGTTCCATTTGGGGTGGAGACTTAACATTTAAATCTATTACAATTAGGCCCTATACGTCAAAAGTTCTTTTCAGCTGGGTGCAGTGGCTCACGCCTGTAATCCCAGCACTTTGGGAGGCTGAGGCGGGCGGATCACGAGGTCAGGAGATCGAGACCATCCTGGCTAACACGGTGAAACCCCGTCTCTACTAAAAAATACAAAAAAATTAGCTGGGCCTGGTGGCGGGTGCCTGTAGTCCCAGCTACTTGGGAGGCTGAGGCAGGAGAATGGCGTGAACCCAGGAGGCGGAGGTTGCAGTGAGCCGAGATTGTGCACTGCACTCCAGCCTGGGTGACAGAGCAAGATTCCGTCTCAAAAAAAAAAAAATTATTTTCAGGACACAAAGGCATACAAGTGCACAATTTCTCTAAACAGGCCAGAACTAGTGCATAGTCATGATCTCTTATCAGGAGAAAGTTACTAAAATCAGTCTCTTGTCTAATTAAAGCTGTAGTTATGGCTAGCAGAGCAGGGGCTGGGGGTCAGTTCGCATCTAATGGGGTGCCATGTTTGTAACCAGACCCAGGTATGGCTGCTCACCACTTGAAAGCCAAACATGAGAAGTGAGGGTGGTGGAAGGGAAAATAACCCAGTTGTAAAAACCAGCTCCACAAGCCTGCTAGCACTTGATTAAAGCCAACTTTTCCTTCCACCAACTCTCACCTCTCATGTCTGGCTTTCTAGCAGTGAGCCGCTGAACCGGGGTCCGGTTACAACAGCAATAGCTTAAAGTTGAATGGGACTCTTGCTGTCTCTCCTGATGGAAGTTTTTCCCTTGTGGAAACCAGGATCTTTAGACCCACAGAGTCTAAAGTTGCAAGAGTAAGAAGAGCAAATTCTCCAAGTGAGTCACGGGTAAAGATGGTAAGTGGGGCCACTTCTGCTTCTACTTATTGGTTCTCAGTTTCATGAATTCCACCCATTGGGGCCACATAACCAAAATAACAGTCATTGATTTAGGGTGTACCCCACATCCTAAGGGATGCTACCCCATCCTCAAAGAATATTATTTACAAACTGGCATCTCAGCTGTACTTTTAAAGGACCATCCAATTGTACTATCAAGTCACCAGCTTCTACAGTATGTGATAGGATCAGTGGGTCCCATGGTCATGTATTTGGTGAATCAGACACATTATAAATCCTTGATGATACTGTTGGCTGAAGCTATGCAAGCAGAAAAGGCAAAACCCATACCTAGAACATGTGTCAATTCTAGTCAAGATAAACAACTGCTCCCATCTAGAGTGGAAGGGGCTCAGCATGAACAACCAGCCATCAGAGGGATGGCTGCCCTCCTTAAAGGATGGGTATTGTATTGGGGCTCAGCATTGCTTTCTGTTGCACTCAAGTTAAATATTTGGCAGCATCAGTAAGTAGCTAGATCACTCTTGGTGAATGGAATCTTTTTACACGTTTTCCATGCTGCCACCATAGCTATTCCTCTCATGCACCCAATTTTGCCAGCACAGGAGTGGCCATTGAAGAAGATGGCTGATGTCAACTAGACTACTACTTGGTTGGACTACTACCAATGATTTGGACTACTTGGTTTTTGAGTGCCTCCTCCACAGCAGATGCTCTCTGGTGAGCGTTAACTTGCACTCAAAAATCTTTACATTCCATGCCCACTCCTAGAGATCCGTCCATGTGCCTCTACCCCTGTCCCCAGTCTTTTCTTTCTCCTAGGCCCCTGACCAACTAGCCAAGCCATTTGCTATTCCCGTGACTCCATGTTTTTTTCTGGCCTCTGCTCTCTTTCCACATAACGTGGATGACCTCATAGCCTGATGTTTGCCTTGCAATGATTTCCCTCATTACTGTCTTAAAGGACCACCAGCACGGGGCTGTATGGCTGCAGTAGTCCGTTAATGGTTTGCAGATACGTATTGAACCAACCCATCTTGAGCCAAACTTGGCTTTTTTCCTCCTCCATCAGTTGGTTGTAAGGGATTCACCCCTCACCCCATCGGCCATCTGCGTGAGCTGAGGAAAAGTTCTTCTGTGACAGTAGTGAATGACACGGGAGGGTCTGCACCACCTGCTCATACAGTCTGCGTAGGCCCTCTGTACCACTTCAATCTCAGGATGGATTCCTACTAGGCCCCCTCAGACATGTGGCTGAGTGTCTGACAAGTTGTGTGATCAAATACTCTTTACCAAACCCCAGGGGCAAACCAGGAGCTGTTTCCAAATAGTATGTAGTTCTCTGTTGCAAATATATAAACCGTAGCATATAGTTCTCTGTTGCCTTACTTCAGAACCCTATGGGTCTACATTGTGATTCTCCAGTTAGGTTTACCATAAACTCTATATAGCATTTTTTCTCAATCACAGATAATTTGAATACCAGATTGTATGGACCAAGTGACAAGACTGCTTATATCACACCCTGGACTGGCTGTGGAGCTATTTTCTCCCCTGGGTCCCACTCAATGCTGGTAGCTTTCCATGTGTCTTGGCAAATGGGCCAGAATAATGTTCCCATGAATGGACTATGCTGACCTCAGAACCCAGGTTGATTGTATAGGACATGTGATTCCTTTTGAGTCCTTTATTTTGAAGACAATGTCCCAGCAGGCTCCTGAGTCTTGATAGCGTTTATCTCCACCAGACTTCCCAATTCTTGCTCATCCAGTCTGATCGACATAATGTCATCAATGTCATGGATGAATGTAATGTTCTGCAGCATGTCCAGAAGGTTCAGCTTTCTTCAGACTATCTTTTGACAGAGGGCAGAGAATTAACATAACCTTGGGGCAAGGTCATGTTAATGCATAGGGTTATTCACCTCACGAATGCAAACTACTTCTGGTCCTCATTTTCTACAGGGGTGGATAAGAATACACTTGCCAGATTGGCTGTATGCCAGGTACCTGATACACTGTTAATTTGCTCTAGGAAATATACCACATTTGTATGCTTTTTGCAGGGCCTGACTGAAACCCACCTTTGCAAAAATTATAACTGAGGAAATTATGACAGTGAAAGAGATCAGACCCAACTGATTCCATCTTGCTTCTAACCTTTAAGCTGTCCTTGTTCATTCCTGGGCATAGACTAAGCTAATCCTGGGAAGGAATTTAGTTTATGATTTGACTCTGAAACAAAATTGATACTAGCCTTTCCCCTAAAAAACCTACCTCTTGCCTAGGGACCAGTCTGCCTTTATCGGACTAACAAACCAGCTACAAGATTAGAAATTACGGTTTAGGGGTCATGCAGCCTCTGGCTGCAAGAGTCTGAGCCTCCCCAAATTGCTCCTGAGGATAACATCACTATTGTAAAACCTAAGATCAGTGCTTGAGGTATTTGGCAGACCCTGTGCTCCCTGGATCAGCTGACATCACCCAGACCAGTAATCTGGCTCAGCCATTTCTGCCATCCCACCCAGAAACAGAAGACAGCAGGAAAAACTTACTTCCACCCCCTATGATTCCATCTCCAACCTGACCAATCAGCACTCCCCACTTCCTGAGACCCTACCTGCCAAATCATCTTAAAAAACTCTGATCCCCAAATGCTCGGAGAGACTGATTTGAGTAATAATAAAACTCCAGTCTCCCACACAGCTCTGTGTGAATTACTCTTTCTCCGTTGCAATTGCCGTCTTGATAAATTGGCTCTGTCTAGGCAGCGGGCAATGTGCACCTGTTGGGCAGTTGGATGACTAGTGATTCAGTTGGAATATGGAGGCCACCAACCCTCTCCTTTAAGTCTCTTCTAGTCCCCACAGGATATATTAATAGTATTGTTGGTGATTTACCATCTTGACTGGAAGTGGGGAGAAATTTCATAGATTTCCACTTGGCCTTCCTCAATGTGGTTGACTAACTAGTTGGTTCACCTAACTGCCAAATATGTCCATTCTGCTTATATGCTTAATGGGAAATAACCATGGGACAGTTCTATGACCCAGTGAGCCCACTGCGAGACCTGCACCAGGACCTTCTTAGCTGCTCCCCATAGGGCCTCCTCACCCTCCATTCTCCCTGGTGGTGGCTTGGGTGTCCAATATCAATTAGCTCAGGCCTTGTGTCTGTGTCCAACCAGTCCTCAAAGTTTCTGGGTATTGCCCTTGGCCCACAGGTCCTGTGGGGAAGGCTAAATAAAGGTAATCATACCATATACATTGCTGTGGCGTTGCAAGTTTCTGCTGAGGGCCCAGCTCTTCTTTCAGCTACCAAGTTCTAGGTCTGAAAACTGGCCCAGGTCCAGAAACTAGACAACAGATTGTGACTTTTTATGAGAGTGCCTCCCTCAGCCTCCTTGATTGTGCAGATTGAGTGAGACCCTTGGTGGCTGCCCACATATCTATCTTGACCTTCAGAGTGCCATGTTCTATTAACAATTGTCATATTCTGTCTGGGCCAGGCTGCTGTGACTGCCACCCCTTGTTCCTTATTACAGTAATTACATACACCTGGTTTCTGATGCCACGCGCTTCCTGGCCTCTGTTAATTTGAAACCCCATCATCCCGTGGCTATAGGGAAAGCGAGTTCTATAAGAGCATCTGCTATTCTCAGCCCTGGTCTACAAAGGACAGCCACCACTGAGCTTCTTCAATAATGCTGGTGCCCCTCTCATCAACACATTTTTGATCACTTTACTAGTCAAAGTATTCTTTCTAGGCCTCCATCCCATGGAAGGTAATTGGCTGGTGGGTTTTCTCACCTTATATAAAATGCCTGTTTTATCAAGCCCACTTCTCTGGGCCTTCGGTCCCTTTCTCTATCACTTGCCATGGCAATTCTGACAGTGCTACTTCACTTAGTATGGGCTAGTGCTTTTTCCCAGCTTCTAGGAATCAACCTAGCAGCATATTTGCATATAGGAGCTTTGACAGTGACACGGGAGAGTTCTCTGACCCCCCCTCGCAGGACGTGCAACAGGGGTGTGGCTTGTCTGTTTGGCCACAGCCGCTGCTCAAACCCCTTATGGGAGGGGGAGCACACAGACAGGCAGGTGCAGGAGCTGGGGCGAGTGTTTCTGGGCTGTGGCCCCACAGCAGCATCTAGGGGTGGGCGCCTGTGACCCCTGAAGCCCAAGTGGGCATGTGTTACAGTGCGCTCTTTTAGCTTTGCCATCCACCAATGGCTTAAGTGTTAAACAGCTTAGTAGACTCTCTGCCTTTTCACAAGGGCAGAGGGCCAGTGTGACAGCTTTCTGTATCTTGAGCTCTTGTCCAGTGTCCTGAATCAGGTGACACACAGACTTGGAGGATGGTGAATGTGGGGGTTTTATTGGGTGGTGGAGGTGGCTGTCAGTGGGATGGATGGGGAGCTGGAAAGGGGATGAAGTAGGAAGGTGATCTTCTCCTGGAGTTTGGCTGTCCTGAGGCTGATTTCCTCTCCAGCGGTCCCCAGCTGAACTCCTCCCAATGTTCCTTCTCTTCTCTCCTTCTCTGCTGCTCTTCTGTTCATCTGCTCATCTACTCCTGGAGCTGGGGGTTTGGGGTTTATATGGGTACAGGATAAACGGGTGTGGCAGGCTAAAAGGCAACTTTTGAACATGAAAACAGGAATGCCTGTTCCCATTTAGGGCCATGGGTATCCAGGCTTGAAGGTGGGACCTTTGCCAGGGAACTGCCCTCTTCTACCCAGTATTTCCCTGTCTCCTGTCCATATCAGCAGGATATTCATCTTGTATCATAGAAGAATGTCCTCATATTAATAAACTCTCTATTATCCAACTTTATATTCTATTTCTCTAGATTCAGTGCCCTCCAGATCCCACCCCATAAATATCCTCTCTGCTTCTGCCAGTACATGCTGGCTAGGCCCTATAGCGTCTTTGATGTATAGTCTCCTTCTCCCTCAAGGGACCCAGTACATTCCTGGCCTGGTTGTGTTGTGGCTTGACTGTAGCTTTTAGCCACGCAGGGAGGTGGGGATAAGTTATGAAAGGCATGAGGAGTCTTTGAGTTGTCTTCAAGCAGAGGGGTATGGGTCACATCTGCAGGCCAGTGTTTGGAGGACCTGGGGTTTCAAGAACCTCAAGTTGAACTGTGATGCAGTTATGACAGAGGCTTCAGCCAATCTCACAGATAGCTCTAGAGCTGCCATGATTCCCATCTCAAGTCTCCCTCCCAGCTGGGGCCTTGGCATAGTGGACTCATCTAAATGGAGAGTCCAGTCTTCTCTGGAGCTCCATTCACTTCTGAGCCTCAGCTGCTTCTGCCCTCTGGTTGAAGAAGATCAGGATCTCTTTATATGCTACCAAGGAGGCCTGTTGGACTTCAACACTTTGTCCTCGCAAAGAGTAACTGCCCTTGGCCTTTTGCTGTCTTTCTCCAGTGCAACCATAGCCCTCAACCTGTGAGGAGTGAAGGAAGCACTTTGGCCAGAGGGAGAAGCTGAACTGCAATGCAGTCACCACAGAGGCCTCAGCCAATCCCATAGGAAGTTCTGGGTCTCTGATGGTCCTTCAGAGTTGTCTGGATTTGAGGTACAGGGGCTGGGGCCACCCCGCCAACATTGATTAGTTATAGGATGTGGGCTACCCCCAGGAGGAGCTTTAACCTTGGGTGAATCAGTTTCCTTTGGATGGAGGGAAATCCCTGGGGAGGGACTTAACTTTGTGCAGTCAAGGGGAATGAGCATCTCATCATAAAGGAAAATTTGAGTGGCCGAATGGCACATGGCATGCATTCCATTGACACTGGGAATAAAGAGAGGGGGCTAGGGATAGGAAAATGATTTCTGGAAGAAGAATCGACAGGATATGCTGACCACAGAGCATCTGAATGAAGATAAGGTTCTCTCATTCAAGAAACATTTAATACCTTCCCTAGGCTCAGCCCTGTGTGAGATGCAGGTTGTGGACTTGAATGGTTCTTCACCTCAGGGAGCTCAAATTGAAAGCCATATGCCAAAGAAAGAGTGGAGACAGTGCCAAGATCTCAATATGCTGCAATGTGAATGGGAGGATGTGGCTAAAAAGACAAGACAATCCTTTGTTGTGATGGAGCTTTTCATGAGCTCTGGAGCTCACGTTTTCCCTCTCTCTAGAAACACCCAAATCCTTGGCTCAAAACGAGACTTCTTCCTTGAGGACTTTGAAGTATAGTACTAGCATCAGTGCCTACCCTGCTTCTTGTACCTTCCCCTTACCAATAATCACAGACACACACACACACACACACACGCACGCACACTCACTCTCACACACACACATACTCTCACACACACACGCACACTCTCACACTCACGCAAACTCACACCCACTCTCTCACACACACACACTCACACAGTGAATTGCACTACGTGAGGACTAGAGATGCAAATAGGGACAGTTGAGAGAATCCCATCGTAGGGAGTGCTTCCAGCCTCACACATGACAGCAATGTGCCCAGGAGTGACTTTTCTTTTTCTGTTTGTGAAGGAAATGAGCACCCCAGAGTCAGGAAGCCTCCCAAATCTCTGCAAATCAAGTCCTAGGACAAGGACAGCAGGGGCTCCGCCTCTCTGGTGCACCTTACGTGAACGGCCACAAGATGGCAGTAGGAGCTCAGCCGACGCTGGAGAGAGACTGAGGGTGGGGTGCTGGGGTCAGGGGAATGGAAAAGTGACCCCCTAGACATGCACGCATCCCAAAAGAGAGGTACGGAAGGACAAATCAATGGATGAAAGGCTCTTGGGACCTGTTTAAGCCACGAGTTTGCACACTACTGGCAACTGGCCGTTTCTCGTGCACACATCTATGCATGACTATACTTCTGCGCATTTGCCACATGTAAGTTCTTTCTCCTGGTTAAATATGACCCCTGCCACCCTAAACCTTACCATCACAATCGCCGGTGGAAATATCGGGAGTGTTGCAGAATCTGTGTGCCAAGTGCACTGACTCTCACAAGAGGCTGCACGCGGGGCTGTAAGGGTGGCTCTGGATGTGCCTTTGGCCACCAGCCTTTTCCTCTCAGGGGACAGCGAGGTGAGGGCAGCCTCTAGAGAACAAAGGGCAAACTGCCCTGCTTCCATCCGCACAGAGGGGACCGCTGATGGCGACAAGGTGACTGCGCTGCAGCGAAGGACGCCTAGCGTCTGGCGTTCTAATATGCCACAACGATCGTTTGCGTCCTGGGTTACGAGGACATCGCGGGCAGCCAGCCTCTCGGTGCAGGGGCCTCAGTGCTGCTGCCGACACACGCTCAGGTGAGGGATGTGTGCACACACCCAATCTTAGTGAGGACAACGGATAGAAATTACGAGGGAGTTTTTTTTTTCTTTTTTTGGAGACAGAGCCTCACTGTCGCCCAGGCCGGTGTGTAGTAATGCAGTCTCAGCTCACTGCAGCCTCTGCCTCCCGGGTTCAAGCGATTCTCCTGCCTCAGCCTTCGGAGTAGCTGGGACTACAGGCCTGCACCACCATGCCGGGCTAATTTTTGTATTTTTTAGTAGAGGGGGTTCTGCCATGTTGGCCAGGCTGGTCTTGAACTCCTGACCTCAGATGATCCGCCCGCCTTGGCCTCCCAAAGTGCTGGGATTGCAGCCGTGAGCCACTGCCTCTGGCCTCTGCACCAGGTACTTTACACTGGAACTTCTCAACTTCGGCATCCTGGGTGGGACAGGTCTTTGGTGTGTTGATGTGGATACAATACATCATATCCCTGGCCTCTACCCTCCAGATGCCAGTAGCACCAACCAGCCTTCTACAAGTTGTGGTAACCAACTTTTGTCAAATTGTGGCAGGCCAGGTCTCACTAACACAGGCCTCCATAACAACTGTTTCAGTACTGACTAAGTGGTTAAGTTAAACATTAAAAGCTAAAAAAAAGCTAGTGCCCTTATACAAAGGCTGGAATATAGCAGAAGCCCACCAAGCATCTTGCCTAGGCCTTTCCTGGGCCTTAAAGCATGACCAAATAATGAAAGAATTCTTAACAGGACCCTTTTAGGATTAGATGAGTTTTACTGGGGGTCTGAAGAAACTCCCCAGGCCTCCACAAATAAGTTTATTGGGGGTCTAAAGGAACTCCCCAAACCTCCGTGATTTAACAGGAGACAAGGATAATCACCTCACCACTTGGACCCATTTAGATTAAGCAAATTTACTGAGGCCCCAGAGGAAGGTCTTCAGTACTGAGACCTTAGTTATAGATTAAAAGAAGTTAATCACTTATGTCTTTAAATGAATGCACACTTACATGTAGACATACAGCTTAGAAGGTATACAAGCTCTGGAAAACTTTGTAATTTTGAATTGGTCTGGTGATAATTTCCAGGCCTTCTCCCTGTAACCGATTGCAGAAAATAAAACCTCTCTTCCTCCCCAGTTCATCTGCATCTCATTATTAGGTGGCGAGAAATAGCAGCCTGACCCTCAGTTTGGTCCGGGAACAAAATGTCCCCTGGGGGGCAGAGTGGAGGGGACAAAAGCTCCCTGGTAGAGAACCAGTGAATTAACTCATTTAATCCTAGAACAACCCTGAGGTGGGTAATATTTCTCCTTATTTATTTTTAAAAATTGTGGTAAAATATACATACACAACATTTACCATCGTAACCATTTTTAAGTGTGTAGTTCAGTGGCATTAAGTACATTCATACTGTTGTGCATCCATCTTCCCATCCATCTCTGGAACTCTTCATCTTGCGAAACTGAAACTATGCTCATTAAGCAAGAACTTCCCATTCCCCTCTTCCTCCAGCCCCTGGCAGCCACCGTCCTACTTTCCTTTTTTTTTTTTTTTTTTTTGAGACGGAGTCTTGCTCTTTTTGCCTAGGCTGGAGTGCAATGGTGCGATCTTGGCTCACTGCAACCTCCACCTCCTGGGTTCAAGTGATTCTTATGCCTCAGCCTCCCGAGTAGCTGGGATTACAGGTGCACACCACCACGCCTGGCTAATTTTTGTATTTTTTAATAGAGACAGGGTTTTTCCATGTTGGCCAGGCTGGTGTTGAACGCCTGACCTGCACCATTCTACTTTCTATCTCTACAAATTTGACAGCTCTAAGTACCTCATCTAAGTGGAATCATACAGTGTTTGTCCTTGGACTCAGCATGATGTCTTCAGAGTTCATCCATGTTGCAGTACACGTCCAGATTCTCTTCCTTTGAGGTTGAATAGTATTCCATGTATGTCTAGGCCACATTTTATTTATGCATTTCTCAGTGGATGAACACTTGGCTTGCTTCCACCTTTCAGCTTTTGTCAATGATGCTGCTATTAGTACTCCCTTTTGGCAGATGAGAAAACTGAGGCGTAAGAGGTGAAGTAACTTGCTGTAAGTTCCCCAGCTAGTGAGTAGCGCACCTAGATTCCAGCCAAGCAGTTGGCTTCAGAGGCTGCTGCTGAGACCTCCTCACTGCACACAGCCAGGCACCCACCCAGGCACCCACCCCCTTCCGATGCCATCTGATAAGCAGGGACCTATTACTGCTCTGCTGGGAGCTGAGTCAGAGATGGGGCATACTGGGGGCTGGGGAATGATTACTTCTTTGTTTCCCCCTCTTATTTTATCCCTGGAAAGCCTGGATCAAACCAGGAGGTAGAGAGATTTCTTCAGTGGTGGGCCCTCCACAGGAAAGTCCCCACCATCCCTGTCCTCCCACCATCAGTAACCACACCATTCCTACCCAACTGCCTGATTGGGGATGAGGTCTGGGGCTCATGTACCTCTGCATCCCAAACAAATAGCTACTGTGCATTCCTGTAAGTCCTCTGGTTGAGAATCTGTAAACAGACTCATTGGTAAAGTCTTTCTTGGAAGCTGACCACATGACATGGGAATGTTCGTAGAAGATGCACGTAGTCACCATGAGGAGGGGAAAGAACCCAGTCATCCTATTGTTTTAGACAGGGCTTAACAAAAATGTCTATATAACAAAGCCTGCAAAAATTTAGAAGTGAAACATTTGTGGTTTGAGTTTTTGCGTCAAGGTCCACCACACTTCCTGACAAGTCAGCTCCTTGTCTGGGTAGCCCTTGGATATCAGATCTTCAGGAGAAGCTACTGCCTCTTCAGGTCTGCAGGTTTCCAAATATCAAATTTCTAAAGCATACAATGCCCACAGTTTCACCACTTCCTTTGGTGTCAATGCATTTCATTTTGAGCAATGGCAAGAAAGGCCCCTATGAAATCTTGCTACCACCACCAACAGGAAACATAGCAATCTGTAGCTATAGTCCCCTCATCTGGAGACTGGCCTTGGTAGGCTCACTTCATGCCTTCCTTGCTGGGTTTTGGAAGATGTTGCAATTAACACAAGGAAAGAAGGCAAGCTCTTACCCCTCCTTCCCCTTCACTCAGTAGCAGCATGGTGGTTGCAGAAATAAAGCACTCAGTTGTTCTTTCTGCTTGCAATTGTTCAGATGCAAGGGGAAAAAGTAAAAACTGAAGCTTGCTATGACCTCTGTCTTAAACCATTTTGTGCAGCTATAAAAATTGCTGGGTAATTAATAAAGAACAGAAATTTATTTCTCACAGTTCTGGAGGCTGGGAAGTCCAAGATCAAGGTGCCAGCAGGCTTGGTGTCTGGAGAGGGCCACCCCCAGGATGGTACCTTACACATTACATCTTCCGGAGCAGGGGCAATCACTGTTCCTTACAGGACAGAAATGCAGAACAGAGGGAACCCACATCCACAAGCCCTTTTTAGACTGGCTTTAATCCACTCATGCTCCACCCTCATGACCTGAACACCTCCCAGTAAACCCCACCACCCAATGCTGTTGCATTGGGGATTAAGTTTCCAACACGTGAGTTTTGGAGGGAACAAAAACATTCTGACCATAGCAGCCTCTCCCCAACTTTTACAAGAAGGCTGGCATCTGACGCATTTCATAGCCTGAGTATAAGATGAGGTAACGGAGGGCCCACATCACCTACATCCTGTAAAGCCTGAGGCTCACCAAACCACACAGGGGAGTATGAACACAGAGGACACCTCCCACTGTTGTTCTCTTGTCTCCTGACTCAAACAGCCCCTTCCTTTCAGCCCAAGACATTGAGCCATCCGGGGCTTGCTGTGGTATGATACAAAATAAATATTTGGTCTTTGTCCCTGGTTCCTGACACAGCGCCTCAAAATCCTTGGAACTGATAGTCCTGTATGCTAATGAGATGAGTCATGGAGAGGCCCTAGATAGCTTCAGGATGGGGGCTGGTCACTAGAAAAATCAACCATGTGATTAGAGGATTAGAACTTTCAGCCCCACCTCCTCACTTCTGACCTTCAAGGAGAGGAAAGGGATTGGAGATAAAGTCCAATCACTAAATGACCAATGATTTCATCAATCATGCCTGCATAATTCAGACCTTGAGCAAGAAAGAGGTCAAAGCCTGAGTTACTACCTTTAGTGAGCTTAATTTCCACGTAGGAAAGTAAGAGAAGCACAGCAGCAAAGCTGTGTTTAAAATCCCCGCCCCCGCCCTCCCACTCCCTGCAAAAACACTCCTAAATGAAGTCAGATAAAAATCTCCCAAAAAAATCCTAAGTGAAATCAGATGCAGTGGCTGAAACGTAATTCCAGCTACTGGGGAGACTGAGGTGGGAGGATTGCTTAAGCCCAGGAATTTGAGGCCAGCCTGGGAAACATAGAGAGACCCTATATCTTTAAAAAATTTTGTTTTAATAAAAACAAGAATAAAACCTAAATGACAGGGATTCAGAGAACTTCTGGGTTGAGAAAAACATTGCTTTAAGAGGCCAAGGTGAGAGAATCACCTGAGGCCAGGAGTTCAGGACCAGCCTCTAAGAGACGGGGGGGTCTCACTCTATTGCCCAGGCTGGAGTGCAGTGGCACAATCTCAGCTCACTGCAGCCTTGACCTCCTGGGCTCAGGTGATCCTCCTACCTCAGCCTCCTGAGTAGCTGAGACCACAGGCATGTGCCACCATGCCCAGCTAACTTTTTTTATTTTTAGTGGAGATAAGCTTTCACTGTGTTGCCCAGACTGATCTCAAACTCCTGGTCTTAAGCAATCCTCCCACCTAAGCCTCCCAAAGTGCTGGGATTACAGGCGTGACCCACTGTGCCCAGCCCCTCAAACAAATTTTTTTTGTTTAGCCACATAGTGGCATGTGCCTGTAGTCTCAGCTACTTGGAAGGCTGAGGCCGGAGCATTGCTTGAGCCCAGGACGTCGAGGCTACAGTGAGCTACAATTTCATCACTGCACTCCAGCCTGGGTGACGGTGTGAGACCCTGTTTAAAAAATAAAAGAAAGACATTGATGCGCTTCAAGGATGGTGCATCTGAAAGACAGAGCCCCAGGACGGTGGTGGCTGCCACCCTCCCTATGCAGCTCTTCCATTTGGTTGTTCCTGAATTGTATCCTTTATAATTAATGGGCAAATGTTAATTAATACGTTTTCCTGAGTTTTATGAGCTGTGAATTATCAAAACTGAGGAAGGGGTTGTAGAAACTCCCAAATGTATAGTCAGAAGTATGGGCGGCTTCTTGGACTTGTGGCTGGCATCTGAAGCAGGGGCAGTCTGGGACGGAGCCTTGAACATGCACTGTTGGCTCTAACTCCAGGAGTTAGAACTGAATTGACTGTTGGATTCCTGTTGATGTCAGAGTCACGGGTCACGAGTGTGGAACACTCTCCACACACTTGGTATCAGAAGTGTCAGAAAAAAGACACTACACCTGTTTTCTCACCAAACAGTGGAAATGCTAAACTATAAGCTATTTCCACTGCATTTTTTTCCCCTCTTGCAATTCCACTCTTCCAGGAAGCTTGGGTGATCAGCCTAGAGTGTTACCTACACTCGCCAACAGAGTCAGCTGAGTTGACGCTCTGGGCATGACAGTTCTTTATTGTGGGGCTGTCATATGTGTGCCATTTTCAGCAGCATCTTTGACCTCTACCCACTAGATGCCGGTAGCAATAAGTCCCTGGCTGCCTCAACAAAATGTGGTCATTCCCTTACGACAAAAACTAGACCTTACAAAAAAGGGTAGTCGAGCCTGAGGCCTGAGACCTGGGTCTAGTCCAGGCTCAGCCCAAGCTCTCTCTGTGACTTTGGGCAGGGCTACCAAGCCTCTTGGTGTCCTCAACTGAACAATGGAAAAGTCAGACCAGATCAACCTGAGTTCCGTTCAGCAACAACGTGCTACACTGCTGTGTTTGCCTTACCTTCCTATGTGGAAATTAAGCCCAGTAGAGCTAGTAACTCAGGCTTTGACCTCTTTCTTGCTCTGTCAAGGCCTGAACTCCTGTCTTTTCCAATGATTTGACCCTGAGTCTCCCATTTCCTTTCACAGAATGAGGCCTGCTGGAGCCGACAGGGGATCTGTGTTGGGGATAGATGCTGCTGACAACCTGAAAAAGAATCCACCCTATGGCTCTGAAATTAACAGTGTTCAGCAGTCTTGTGGGCAGAGTGAGAGCACCTGCCCTCTGGAGCTGTCCTGGGGAGCCCCAGACCAGAGGAGTGAGGAGTGCCCTCTGTTGCAGGTGGGGGTGGCGGGACGGGAGTGTGGAGATCCAGAGTGGCCACCAGGCCATTGCTCAACCTAGTTCCTGCTCAGTCCCTCTGGGGCTGGCAGACTTCACAGTCCAGCTTGCTCTGGGGAGACCATATTCCGAAGGCGGCAGCATCCACCACCGTCCTGGGGCTCTGTCTTTCAAAGAGAAGCCTCTGTCCTTTTCAAAGACAGAACACCTGTGCTTGGCAGGCAAGAATAACATTGAGGGTGGGAAATCCCACTCTCCAAAATATTATAAAACAGAAAGTATGAAGGAATTAAAGTCCATTGAAAAAGTATCCTGAGACCGGGTGCAGTGTAGATGCCTGCAATTCTAGCACTTTGGGAGGCTGAGACAGGAGGATTGCTTGAGGCCATAAGTTTGAGACCAGCCTGGGCAACAAAAATGAGACCCAGTCTCTACAAAAAAATTTCAAAATTAGCCAAGCATGGTAGCTCGTGCTTGTAGTCCCAGCTACTCAGGAGGCTGAGGTGGGAGGATTGCTTGAGCCCAGGAGTTCAAGGTTACAGTGAGCTATGATTGTGCACTGCATTCCAGCCTGGGGAGCAGACTGAGTGGGTGGCCCTGTAGCAAAAAATAGAAAAGAAAAGAAAAGGTATCCTGGACTACCAGGAATGATGGTAATAATGATGCTAGCACTTATTAAGAATTTAATAGATGCCCTGAACTCAGCTCAGTGCTTTACATGAATTATCTCATTTAATTCAGGACACAATTGGAGATAGTTATGCTTTTTACCCCCATTTTACAGATTGGGAAACTGAAGTTACAGTGTTCTTCAAAGTCTTTCAACTAATAAGGTCTAATGATTTTATCCTGGAAGCACACATGGAAATTTTCTTGTTCTCTAGTCTTGGTAGGTAAAATTTGGGATATCTTGGCAGGTGTGACCTAAGTTATCACAAAGCATGTCCAATTATTGGGAAAGAAGATGATGTTAGTTACTGGGTGGTGGTGGTGGGAGGGGTGGTCTAGCTAATGACTGGCATTTTAAACTAGAATCATTAAGATCCATTATTAATCTTCATTTCATTCATTTTTATCTATTTATCCTTCTATTCATTAATTCAATCAATAAAAACTTATTTGTGGGCGGCAAGCCACCCAGGTGCCAAGGCAGGAGACTGAGGGTATGAGCTGTTCCAGTATAATAAAATATATAAAATAAGAATAGTTATAGTAGATATAGATCTTAGATATGATTATATATGAATAACAATCATTAATTTGTAGCAATAATTCTTTATTCCAATATTATAATAATCCTTGCTCTACAATCATAACCTAGGAAAAACCAGGCCACACAGAGATAGGAACTGAGGGGACATAGTGAGAAGTGACCAGAAGACAAGAGTGTGAGCCTTCTGTTATGCCCAGACAGGGTCACCAGAGGGCTCCTTGGTCTAGCGGTAACGCCAGCATCTGGGAAGACACCCGTTGCCAAGCGGACCGTGGTCTAGCGGTAGCATCAGTGTCAAGGAAAAACATCTGCTACTTAGCAGACTGGGAAAGGGAGTCTCCCTTTCCCTGGGGGAGTTTAGAGAAGACTCTACTCCTCCACCTCTTGTGGAGGGCCTGACATCAGTCAGGCCCGCCTGCAGTTATCCAGAGGCCTAACAGTCTCCCTGTGATGCTGTGCTTCAGTGGTCATGCTCCTAGTCCACCTTCATGTTCCATCCTGTACACCTGGCTCTGCCTTTTAGATAGCAGTAGCAAATTAGTGAAACTACTAAAAGTCTCTGATAAGCAGAAATAATGGCATAAGCTGTCTCTCTCTCTCCTCTCTCTCTCTCTGCCTCGGCTGCCAGGCAGGGAAGGGCCCCCTGTCCAGTGGACATGTGACCCACGTGACCTTACCTATCATTGGAGATGGCTCACACTCCTTACCCTGCCCCTTTGTCTTGTATCCAATAAATATCAGCGCAGCCTGGCATTTGGGGCCACTACTGATCTCTGCGTCTTGGTGGTAGTGGTCCCCCAGGTCCAGCTGTCTTTTCTTTTACCTCTTTGTCTTGTGTCTTTATTTCTACACTCTCTCGTCTCTGCACATGGGAAGAAAGCCCATCAACCCTGTGGGACTGGACCCTACACTTATTGATAACTCAGTGTATGTCATGGATTGTGCTAATGGCTAGGGATGCAAAAAAGAGTCATACTCCATCCCCATCCTCAAGACATTCCTGGTCCAGTGCTGCCGGCAATAGTCAGAGGCCAAAGTCCCATAAGAAAGTGGCCTTCTGGCCCACTGACTTCTTCCCCAGGTCCGCCTAGAAATCTAACTGGGTTCAAGTCAGGCAAAACATGTACAACTTTATGATTTCTTGTCTGATGGAAATCCCCTGGACTTTTCCCTTTTTGTATTGGATGGATTTTAGTTCTCCTGGACATGCCAAAGCGGGTACGTGGCACCCCACAGCCATGAAGCCTTGGGCCCCTGCACCTGGTGCTTAGGTTCAGGGAGCCTCAGGAAGTCTTTCTCCTGACCTGACTCTCTTGTCTTAGGACACAATCTATGGGAAACTTCTCCCACAATACAAAGCCCAAACGCAAGAGAAGGGGCCAGCCTAAACCCAGCCTGGAGACATCAGCGTAGGGATCCACTGGGCACATACTGTCCTTGAGGTTTAGCCACCTGGCAACATGCTGGGCTGCTGCCGCCCTCCTCTTCTCCCCAGCCAGCCCTCACCAGGGTCTACAGGAAGTGGTTGCTCCCATAAGCTGTGTAGGCAGATGTTCCTGTGAGTGCTTCTCTCTGTCTCAGAAAAGGGAGTCAGGGCAGGAGATGTTCCTGCCATGCCTTCCAAATGGCAGATTTCCCTGCTGTTTCAATGAGGTCTCATGGCTTTCTGGATGTCAACTCTTCTCTCCTATACTCTAAGAAGTACAGAGATGGGCCAGTACTCTAAGAATCCAGACACTATTGTAAAATTCTCCCTACTTCCATTCAGCCAGGGAGCTCCTGGTCTGTTCCTTTGAGTTCTTGTTCCCTCAGTTCTTCTCTGGAAAGGCTGCCTCTGCCTGGATAGACCAGGCCCAAGATGCGTAGATGAATCAGACACATCCCTGCCCTTGAGGGCTGTCACAGGTCTCAGTGAAGACCTACAATAGAGCAGGGAATTGAGAAGGCTTGGAGGGAGGCAGGAGTAGGGTAGGAAACAATACAAAGGGAGGGAAGAGAAGGTGATGCTGGAGGTGCACCAGGAAGGAAATGGCAGTGATATGGTTTGGATCTGTGTCCCCATCCAAACTCATGTTCAATTGTAATGCCCAGTGTGAGGCTTGATGGGAAGTGATTGGATCATGGGGGCAGAATTCTCATGAATGGTTTAGCACCATCACCCCCCCTTGGTACTGTATAGCAAGTGAGTTCTCACGAGATCTGGTTGTTTAAAAGTGTGCAGCACCTGCCCCCCGACTTCCTCCTGCTTCATCCATGTAAGACGTGTCGGCTTCCCCTTCACCTTCCGCCATGATTCTAAGTTTCCTGAGGCCTCCCCAGAAGCAGAAGCCACTGTGCTTCCTGTATAACCTGTAGAACTGTGAGCCAATGAAACCTCTTTTCTTTATAAATTATCAGTCTCAGTTATTTCTTTATAGTCATGCGAGAACGAACTAATACAGTGTTGGGAACAGGCCCCCAAATCTGGCCATAAACTGGCCCCAAAACTGGCCATAAACAAAATCTTTGCAGCACCATGACATGTTCATGATGGCCATGATGCCCACGCTGAAGGTTGTGGGTTTACCAGAATGAGAGCAAGGAACACCTGGCCAACCCAGGGCAGAAAACTGCTTAAAGGTGTTCCTGAACCACAAACAATAGCATGAGCAATCTGTGCCTTAAGGACATGTTCCTGTTGCAGGCCCATCCCTTTATTTCGGCCCATCCCTTTATTTTCTGTAAGGAACGCTTTTAGTTAATCTACAATCCATAGAAATAACGCTTATCACTGGCTTGCTGTCAATAAATATGTGGGTAAATCTCTGTTCGAGGATCTCAGCTCTGAAGGCTGTGAGACCCCTGATTTCCCACTCCACATGCTATATTTCTGTGAGTGTGTATCTTTAATTCCTCTAGCACCACTGGGTTAGGGTCCCCATGACTGAGCTGGTCTTGGCAATACAGAAAATTGTTACTGAGAAATGGGACATTGCTATAAAAATGCCTGAAAATGTGGAAGCGGATTTGGAACTGGATAATGGGCAGAGGCTGGAAGAGTGTGGAGGGCTCAGAAGAAGACAAGAAAATGAGGGAAAAATTGGAACTTCCTAGAAATTTGTTGAATGGTTGTGACCAATATGCTGATAGTCATATGGACAGTGAAGTTCAGGCTGAGGAGGTCTCAGATGGAGATGAGGAACTTATTGGGAACTGGAGCAAAGGTCACCTTTGTTATGCATTAGTAAAGAGGTTGCCTGCATTATGCCTCTGCCCTATGGATCTGTGGAACTTTGAACTGGAGAATGATGATTTATGGATCTGGCTGAATAATTTTTCTAAGCAGCAAATTGTTCAACAAGTGGTCTGGCTGCTTCTAACAACCTATGCTCATGTGCACGAGCAAAGAAATAACTTGAAGCTGGAATTTATATTTAAAAGGGAAGCAGAGCATAAAAGTTTGGAAAATTTTCAGCCTGGCCATGTGGTAGAAAAGAAAAGCCCATTTCCAAAGGAACAGTTCAAGCCAGATGCAAAAATTCGCATTACTAAAAGGAAAGCAAGAGCGAATAGCCAAGGCAATGGGGAAAGGGCCTCCAAGGCATTTCACAGACCTTCATGGCAGCCCCTTCCATCACAGGCCCGAAGGCCTAGGAGGACAGAACGGTTTGGTGTGCCAGGCCCAGGGCCCTGCCACCATGAGCGGCCTGAAGACACTGTTCCCTGCATCCTGGCTGCTTTAGCTCCAGCCTTAGCTCAAAGCAGCCCAGGTACAGCTCAGGCTGCTGCTTCAGAAGGTGCAAGCTATGAGCCTTCACAGCTTCCACATGGTCTTAAGTCTGTGGGTACTCAGAGTGCTAGAGTTGAGGTTTGGGACCCTCCACCGAGATTTCAGAGGATGTATGGAAAAGCCTGAATGTCCAGGCAAAAGCCTGCTGCAGGGGCAGAGCCCTCACTGAGAATTTCTACTAGGGCAGTGCAGAGGGGAAAGGTGGGGTTGGAGCCCCCACACAGAATCCCCACTGGGGCACTGCCTACTGGAGCTGTGAGAAGAGGGCCACCATCCTCCAGACCCCAGAATGGTAGATCCACTGACAACTTACACCATGCACCTAGAAAAGCAATGTGCACTCAACAACAGTTAATGAGAGCAGCCACAGGGGCTATTCCCTGCAAAGCCATAGGGCTGGAGCTGCCCAAGATCTTGGGAACCACTCCTTGCATCCAGTGTGCCCTGGATATGGGACATGGAGTCAAAGGAGATTATTTTGGAGCTTAAGATTTAATGACTGCCCTGCTGGGTTTCAGACTTGCATGTGGCCTGCAGCCCCTTTCTTTTGGCTTATTTCTCCCTTTTGGAATGGGAGTATTTACCCGATGCTTGTACCTTCATTGTATCTTGGGAATAACTAACTTTTTTTTTTAATTTTACAGGCTCATAGGTGGAAGGGACTAGCTTTATCTCAGATAAGACTCGGACTTTGTGCTTTTGAGTTAATGCTGGACACAGTTAAGACTTTGGGGACCATTGAGAAGGGATGATTCTGTTTTGGAATGTGAGAACATGAGATTTGGGAGGGGTCAGGGACAGAATCATATGGTTTGGATCTGTGTCCCCATCCAAATCTCATATTCAATTGTAATCCCCTACGTTGGAAGTGGAGCCTGGTGGGAGGTGATTGGATGGATCATGAGGGCAAAGTTCTCATGAATGGTTTAGCAGCATCCCCACCTTGGTACTGTATAGTGAGTGAGTTCTCATGAGATCTGGTTGTTTAAAAGTGTGTAGCACCTCCCTGCTATCTCTCTTCCTCCTGCTTAATCCACATAAAATGTGGCTGCTACCCTTTCACCTTCCGCCATGATTCTAAGTTTCCTGAGTCTTCCCCAGAAGCAGAAGCTGCTTTGCTTCCTGTTTAATTGGGTAATTTATAAAGAAAAGAGGTTTAATTGGCTCACAGCCCTGCCAATTAAACCTCTTTTCTTTATAAATTACCTAGTCTCAGGAATTTCTCTATGGCAATGTGGGAATGGGCTAATACAGGTGGCTAGAATATTCTCCAAGGGGAGGAACACCTGGGAACAGCAATGAGAACGGTGAGAAGCCTGGTGTAGCTACAGGAGGTGTAAGAAATTCACCCAGGCCGCTGGGGTTAAGCTCTGAGAGTTGTGGCTCACTGGTCCCTCTCAACTCGGACTCCCCCATCTGTAAGATGGGGATCCTCCAGATTAGGGTTGTGGTTGTGATGGTTAAGTGGGTCAGTACATGAAAAGGACAGAACAGTTCCTGGATGGGTGTAAGCACTATGCATGTGTTAGCTGGTGTTATGACTCTTATCCTCATGTCATGCCCAAAGATGTCAAGACTCAGCAATACATATTTTCTGAATGAATTTGTAAATGAGGCCTAGTTACATCAGTATAAATGTGTGTACTTCATAGACCTGCGAGCTGCAGGGGTATTGGAAAGAAGTCTTAACAATTAAAAAATAATAGGTATAATTTTTGGAGTTTCTACTATATACAAAGCATACATTTACATTTACTTCTTCTCTCTCACCAAAGATAAAAAGCTGATGATTATTCTCAATATAAAGATGAGGAAATTGAAGCTCAAAGACCTCTTCTTTTGGTCAGGATGCTGTTCTCTGCCTAGAATATAGGCTACTGATGATCATGCTACAAATTTTATTCTGAAAGGCAATTTTCTCTACTGGTTTTAGACATAATACAACTAAAGGAAAAAAGTGTTTTTGAAGATGCTTACAAGTTGGTCAGGCTTGGTAGCCATTCAATGAGAAAAGCAGAAAAAGACCTCACAGCTACCTCTGTCTTAAGAAGGAGTTCATGAGTCCAACTACCTGAGGTCAGAGCTGATGATCATAATTTATCGATGCTTCAGTGGGCCCAGGTGGACCTGGCCATGGAGGCCGATCTGCCTGTCTGGGCCCTCATGTTCCTGTTCAGTACACATACAGGTGGTGATAGGGAGGTGGAAACCCTGGCAAGGCAGATAAAAGAGCTCCGGTTTTAGAGTGAGTCAGACCTGAATTCAGAGCTGGCTCCGTCACTTACGCACTGTGCCATCTTGCACAGTTAACATTTTAGAAGTAAACTAAATGGTGATAATAATAACATGCCATAGAATTGGCATAAGGATGGAAGATAATGTATGCAAAAAATAATAAACATAGGCATAGACTCTGCCTTTCCATCATAATTACATTAATATAAAATTTTAAATTATTAGCTGCTTTTCAACTATGGGCAAACATTTGAAGCTTGATGATGTGCAGTGTTGGCAAGGCTCTGGCGAAACAGGTGCCATCATGTACTCTTAGTGGGAGTCTAAATTAGTGCAGCAGCTGTGAAAGGCAATTTGGTATTAGAAATCAAATTTTTTAATGCATATACTTTTTGATGTAGCAATTCCACTGCTCTGAATTTATCCTGTGAATATATTAATTTTAATTAGAGTATTGGATTGATTGCCATAATTGAGAACCCAAATAATAGTGGCTTAAACACAACAGAGGTATATTTCTTTCTGGACATAGTAGCCCAGCTTAATCAACCTACAGCTGTTGGTGTGGGAGTGTGTGATTCTGTGTTGTTGTGGGCCCAGGGTTCATATTTTGTTGCTCTGCTATCCTAGACTGCTATCCTCATCTGCATAATATAAAAGAGCTCCCCTCCACATCCACACTCCAGCCTGGGCCAATGGGGAAAGGTATGCAGCCACACTTCTTCCCTGTAAAGCCGCAATCCCAGAGTCACACGCATTGCTTCTGCTATGTCCCACTGACCAGCACTTAGTTGCTTGGTCATACCTGAATGCAGGACTGCCGAGAAATGTAGTCTTTATTCTGGGAGCCATGTCCCTATAGGTTGAGCATCTCAAATACAAAAATCTGAAATCTGAAATGCCCCCAAATTTGAAACTTTTTGAGCACCCACATTACACTCAAAGGAAATGCTCATTGGAGAATTTCAGATTTTCAGATTTGGGATATGCAACCAGTGTGCAACTATTCCAAAATCCAGAAGAAAATGGAAATCCAAAACACTTCTAGTTTCAAGCATTTCAAATAAATGTACTAAAATTCAGAGATGTTATATGACACTCATATATACAGGCAAAGATGTAAGCATAAGGATGCTCACTGCAGCATTTTTGTAACTGAAAAACCCTAGTAACAGTATGAATGATATCTACATTTACTTCTTCTCTCTCACCAAAGATAAAAAGCTAATTAGTAGGGGACTGATTAGAAAAAAAAAGACACGTTTGTTCAGTGGAACACTATGCAGCAGTTAAAAATGAATGTGGTAGGCTGCGCGTGGTGGCTCATGCCTGTAATCCCAGCACATTGGGAGGCTGAGGAGGGTGGATCACCAGGTCAGGAGATCCAGACCATCCTGACCAACATGGTGAAACTCCGTCTCTACAAAAAATACAAAAATTAGCCAGGCGTGGTTGTGCACACCTGTAGTCCTAGCTACTCGGGAGGCTGAGGCAGGAGAATCACTTGAACCAGAGAGGCAGAGGTTGCAGTGAGCCGAAATCGCACCACTGCACTCCAGCCCGGTGACAGAGCAAGACTTCGTCTCAAAAGAAAAAAAAAAAATTTGATGATAAAACCTGTTAATGTATGTAAAAGCCACGACACCTACCACATATCTGGGATGCAGCGCATACAGTCCAGTTTTCTATAGATTCCCTTTTCCCCAGCCCTTCAGAGCCAACCATTCCTTAGAGATTTGGATAACTGTCATTTAAACCTGCATCCTGGGAGCTTCAGGAAGCCCTGTGTCCTTCAAGCACATTTGAGCCTCCTTAGAGATCCTCTGAGTGTCTGTTGTCACCCTGGCAGTGAACTGTGGGATACAGCCTGCCCCATCCCCTCCAGCCAGCTCATCCGCCCCACTCCAGGCTGCTTTCTCTTCCCAGCCTGCTGCCCTGCTTGTCCATGCACAGGACTGACCAGGCTTTGGCCAGCTCTTGCTGGATGAAAATGGGTCTAACCTCAGAGAATTAGAACAAAGAGGAGAAGGACTGAAAACTCCTTACGGGATCAAAGAAATGTGACTTCGGCAATTTATTTAACCCCTCTAAACCTCTGATTCCTCATGTGTAAAATGGGAGTGATAGAAATAATATCTATTTCCCAAGGTTGTGAAGGAGTAGGGAGAATATGTGTACAACTGTTATGTTCTATGTCTCCAGTGTGCAGTATTTGTAAGGACACATTTCATCTACTATTCAGAATAGATGGCTTGGTCATCTGTGTCACTATCATGACCTGAGCCTTCTGCTCCTGGGGGGTCCTTCCCTGATAAATCCACTACCCCCAGGGTCAGAATCAGCTGAAGGCATCAGGTCCTGATTGCAATTTCCTTCTGGAGAGGAACTTGGAGAATCTCACCAGCCTGCCATAGAGTAGGAATCTGGGTGGTTGCTGTCACTTGAGTCGCACTGGAACTCTGGGCTACTCCTGCACTGTCCTCCTCTCTTGCCTTGTTGACCGGTGGAGAGCTAGCTAGGCACCTCACTGCAGCCAGGGCTCCTGCTGGCTGCTGCAAGCCCTGTCCACCATGGCCTCCATTTCTTCTGGACAATGAGGATGGGGGCGGGGTGGCCATGACTGCAGAATGTGCAGAATTCACATTCCTCCACTCCACCTCCCCCATCTGCGTGGCCTTGGCTGGGGGTTGCTGGTTGTAAGCACCAAGGCTTGAGTGTGTTCTTTAATTACTTAGCTCTTTGACCTCTTTCTCTCTCCTCCCTCTCTCTCTTTTTTTTTTTTTTTTTTTTTTGAGACGGGGTCTTGCTCTGTCACCCAGGCTGGAGTGCAGTGGCACGATCTCGGCTCACTGCAACCTCCACCTCCCAAGTTCAAGTGATTCTCCTGCCTCAGCTTCCCCAGTAGCTGGGATTACAGGTGCCCGCCACCCCACCTGGCTGATTTTTGTATTTTTTTTTTTAGTAGAGACAGGGTTTCACCATGTTGGCCAAGCTGGTCTCGAACTCCTGACCTCAAGTGATGTACCCGCCTCGACCTCCCAAAGTATTGGGATTACAGGCATGAGCCACTGCACCCAGTTTCTCACCTCTCTTTCTTTCTTACACACATACACACAGGTGCGCTCACACGTGTGCGGGCACACACACACACACACACACACACACACGGTTCTTTTCTACAGTGCCAGTAAATTTCTTACGAAACTGTTGCTGACTTCAGCCACATCCAGAAATTCCTCACCCCCTCCCTGAATTCTGGCCCATCACCCCCACACAATTACATACCTCCCAAGCCTCACCACATAATTGGTCACCCAATAAATAGTAACTATGGCTTGGGCATTGGGTCACACCCAATAAATAGTAACTGTGGTTGTTTGGTTCCCTGATTATCTGTCTGTGTCCTGAGGCCCCAACTCACAGTCTACAGTCTAGTCATTAGAATTCTTCTCCATCCTCATGAGGGAAGGCAACAGGGGCTGCAAGAAATTTTATTGATAATTGTAGACACCATCACAGTAAACACAAGGCCTCCATTAGAATCCACTTGACATGTTGCGTTGTCCCTGGATGTCAACACGGTAATTAAACTGATTTGAAACTTCCGCTGCACAATGAGGTGGAACAAGAACCAATTTAATGGGCTGTAGGAACCGACTCTGAAATGATTAAAATATTCATCAGAGGAGGGAAGGGAAAGAAGAAAAAAAAAGAGTGAGGCGATTATTATTTTTTCACAGGCCCAGTGCCATTCAGTTGTGTGACTTGGCCCTGGTTTTCTTGGAGACTGGCTGGTCATGTGGAGGTGCGGCTGACAGGGAGCCCAGCCCTGCCTGCTGCGCCAGCAGGAGGCAAGCACACAGGAGGTTGGGGCTTCCATAGGCCACTAGCACATGTTTCACATGAATCCTTCCTCTCCTAGGAATGATGGCCCCAATTCCACACCCCTCCTTGCATCCAAACCCTTGCCATGGCCTAACTATAGGCAAAAATTTGACCTTGACCTTGGCTGTGTGACTTGCTTTAGCCGATGATGCCAATGGAGGTAATGGTGCATGGTTCTGAGCCTAAGAGGCCTCATGTTCTTCCATTTGCCCTCTTGCAAGGGAGCAGAGCAACCCCTGCCAACCCACAGGTCTGCAGCAAGAAGTAGAACCACCCAACAGAGCCCAGCCTAGACTGGTGGAGCCATCTAGCCAATGCACAGATTTCGTGGTAATGATTATTGTTACGTTATGCCACTAATGTGGGATTATTTCTTACATAGCAAAACTGATACATAACCCCAACCTGGCTGCTGTGGTCTGCCCCACAGACTGATCCAAGTGACCACTGGAGGACCCTCATGCTCTCTGGGGTTTTCCTTTCCTCCTTCATGGGGTTGGTTGTTTATTCATGCTTGCCTACAGATCCAGAGAAGACTTTTCCAAATTTTTCCTTTTTAGCTGAGGAATTCTTTTTTTTTTGAGATGTAGTCTTGCTCTGTCATCCAGGCTGGAGTGCAGTGGCACAATCTCGGCTCATTGCAACCTCCGCCTCCTGGGTTCAAGTGATTCTCCTGCCTCAGGCTCCTGAGTAGCTGGGATTACAGGCACATGCCACCACACCCGGCTAATTTTTGTATTTTTAGTAGAGATAGGGTTTCACCATGTTGGCCAGGCTGGTCTTGAACTCCTGACCTCAGATGATCCACCCTCCTTGGCCACCCAAAGTGCTGGGATTACAGGTGTGAGCCACCACACCCAGCCAGGAATTCTTATTTGAAAGGAAATCTCTTACATGCCCTCATATATATATAGTGGGTGTGACCGAGTTTACCAGTTTGGAGTACAAATATCAGGCAGAGAGGGACTGGGGTGGGAATATCTGATCAGACACACATGGGACCTAGGTCTCCATTGTCATTGCTGCTAATGGTGCCTTGATGAAAACTAGTCCCACGCAGACCAGTGTGACCAGTGCCCTGCCCTGCTGTAATGATGCTCAACCTGGTCCAGACACCTGCACATAGGGGCACCAAGGCAACTGCCCTTTAAGTGTTACACTCACATATTTTGCTGTTGTTTCCTAAGGTTTCCACATGTGGGGAGCGCTTACAGCTTGAGCCACACATCATGAGCAAAGCAATCTCAAACCTCACCTGTGAACATACTGAATTAGTCTATATGAGCTCTTCCTTCTGATGGATACTCCCCTTGGGATCTCTGGTTCCTTTTGTTAACAGTGGAATTGAGTAATGACTATCATAAAGTTCTAATGTCAATTCACATGTTTTTCTCTCATAATACTTAGAACCCC
Source organism: Homo sapiens (assembly GCF_000001405.40). Classification (NCBI taxonomy): domain Eukaryota; kingdom Metazoa; phylum Chordata; class Mammalia; order Primates; family Hominidae; genus Homo; species Homo sapiens. The sequence goes on from NC_000014.9 coordinate 71,158,613, forward strand.
CAATTTCTAACTGGGTAGGTATAATGTTCAAAAGTTAAAAGTATGACTTTCTTTTTTTTTTGAGATGGAGTTTCACTCTTGACACCCAGGCTAGAGTACAATGGCGAGATCTCAGCTCACTGCAACCTCTGCCTTTCAGGTTCAAGTGATTCTCCTGCCTCAGCCTCTCAAGTAGCTGGGATTACAGGCACACACCACCACACCTGGCTAATTTTTGTATTTTTAGTAGAGACAGGGTTTCACATGTTGGCCAGGCTGATCTCAAACTCCTGACCTCAGGTGATCCACCCGCCTCAACCTCCCAAAATGCTGGAATTACAGGTGTGAGCCACTGCACCCAGCTAAAAGCATGACTTTCTTACTGAACACAGGTTGAAAACTTTATTCAACTCATTCATTAATGAGGGAAACAGTGAAATGGTAAGGCTGGTTCAAAGAGGATTAGAAGATGCAACAAAAAAAGCTACAGGCCAATATTCCTGGTGAACATCGCTGCAAAATTCTCAACAAAATACTAGCAAACTAAATTCAACAACATATTGAAAAGATCATTCACGATGATCAAGAGAGATACATCCCAGGGATGCAAGGATGGCTCAACATATGTGAATCACCAAACATGACACTTCACATCAATAGAATCAAGGACAAAAGCCATATGACCATTTCAGTAGGTACTAAAAAAGCATTTGACAAAATCCAACATCCCTTCATGATAAATATCCTCAACAAGCCAGGCACGGTGACATGCAACTGTAATCCCAGCTACACCAGAGGCTCAGGTGGGAGGATTGCTTGAGCCCAGGAGTTTGAGATGGCAGTGAGCTATGGTTTTGCTGCTGCAGTCATTCTGTCAGTCGGGCTGGAGTGCGGTGGTGTGATCACAGCTCACTGTAGCCTCAAACTCCCAGGCTCAGGAGATCCTTCCATCTCAGCCTCCTGAGTAGCTGGGATTACAGGCACATGCCACCATGCCCAGCTAGTTTTTGTATTTTTTGGTAGAGCTGAGGTTTTACCATGTTGCCCAGGCTGGTCTTGAACTCTTGAACTCAAGTGATCTGCCTGCCTTGGCCTCCCAAAGTGCAGGGATTACAGATGTGGGCCACCATGCCTGACCTAAAAAAAATTTTTTTTAATCCTCAAAAAATTGGGTATAGAAGGAACATACTTCAACATGATAAAGACCATATATGACAAGCCCACAGCTAATATACTGAATGGGGAAAAATTAAAAGCCTTTCCACTAAGATCTGGAACAAGACAAGATGCTCACTTTTAGCACTTTTATTCAACATAGTACCAGAAGTCCTAGTCTGAGCAATAAGACAAGAGAAAGAAATAAACGGCATCCAATGAGAAAAGAGGAAGTCAAATTAACCTTGTTTGCAGACAACATGATCTTAAGTTTAAAAAACCTAAAGAGTCTTAGAACTGATCAACAAATTTAGCAAAGTTGCATGATACAGAATCAACATACAAAAATCAGTAATTCCTTTTTTTTTTTAACAGGGTCTTGCTCTGTTGCACAGGCTAGAGTGCACTGGTGCAAATACAGTTCACTGCATCCTCGACCTCCCAGGCTCAGGTGATCCTCCCACTTCAGCCTCCAGAGTAGCTAGGATCACAGGAACATACCACCACAACCCCAGATTTTTTAAAAAATTATTTGTAGAGATGAGGTCTCCCTATGTTGCCCAGGCTAGTCTCAAACTTCTGGACTCAAGCAATCCTCCCACCTTGGCTTCCCAAAGTGCTGATATTACAGATGTGAGCCACCGTGCCTGGCCATCTTTTTTTTTTTTTAATAGAGATGGGATCTTGCTGTGTCAGTGGAGTACAGTGGTGTGATTATAGTTAGCTGAAGTTTCAAATTCCTGGGCTCAAGTGATCCTCACTTCTTGGTCTCCCCAGTAGCTGGGACTACAGGTGTGTGCACCATGCTCAGCTAAAAACATCGGTAGTGTTTCTATACACCAATAACAAACTAGCTTACAATAAGTCAAGAAATCAATCCCATTTACAATAGCTACAAAAATAAAAAATAAAATACCTAGGAATAAATTTAACCAAAGAAGTGAAAGATCTCTATAGGGAATACTGTAAAACACTGATGAAAGATATTGAAGAGAACACACATACAAATGCAAACATATCCTATGCTTATGGATTGAAAGAATTAATATTGTCAAAATGTCTCTCCTACCAAAAGCCATCTATATTTTCAATGCCCTCCCTACCAAAATACCAATGATGTTATTCACAGAAATAGAAAAAACAAACTTAAAATCCGTAGGGAACCACAAACACCCTGAATAGCTAAAGCAATCCTGAGCAAAAAGAAAAAAGCTAGAGGCATCACACTACCTCACTTCAAATTATACTACAAAACTGTAGTAACCAAAACAGCATGGCATTGGCATAAAAACAGACACAGAGAACAATGGAACAGAATAAAGAACTCAAAAATAAATCCAACCACTTACAGCCTACTGATTTTCAACAAAGGTGCCAAGAACACATATTGGGAAAAGGACAGTCTTTTAAATAAATGTGCTGGAGAAACTGAATATCCACATACAGAAGAATGAAACCAGACCCCCCATCTCTCACCATTTACAAAAGTCAACTCAAAAGGGATTAAAGACTTAAATGTAAGACCTGAAACTTTGAAACTACTAGAAAAAAACATAGGTGAAATGCTACAGAACATTGGTCTGAGCAAACATTTTTTGGAGAAGACCTCAAAAACACAGGGAACAAAAGGAAAAATAGGCAGGTGGGATTACAGTGAGCTAAAAAGGCCTCTGCACAGCAAAGGAAACAGTTAACAAAGTGAAGGGACAACCTACAGAATGGGAGAAAATGTTTTCAAATGATCTATCCAACAAAGGGTTAATCACTAAACTATATAAGGAACTCAAGTCAATAGCAAAAAAATTGAATAATTTAATTTAAAAATGGGCAAAAGACCTGAATAGACATTTCTCAAAAGAAGACATACAAATGGCCAACAGACATATGAAAAAATGCTCAACATCCCTAACCATCAGAAAAATGCAAATCAAAGCCACAATGAACTATTATCTCACCACAATTAAAAGGGCTATTAGCAAAAAGACAAAAGAAAAAAAAACATAATAAATGCTGGAGAGGATACAGAGAAATGCTCATACACTGTTGGTGAGAATGTAAAGTAATACAGTCATTATGAAAAACAGTATTGAAGTTCTTCAAAAACACTAAAAATAAAATTACTATATGATCCAGGAATCCCATTGCTGGGTATATATCCAAAAGTAAGGATTTAAGTATATCAAAGATATATCTGTAGTCTCATGTTTATTGCAGCACTATTCACAATAGCCAAGACATGGAATTAACCTAAGTGTCCATCAACAGATGAATGGATAAAGAAAATGTGGGACATGTACACAATAGAATATTACTCAGCCTTAAAAAATAATAAAATCTTGTCATTTCCAGCAATGTAGATGGAACTGGAGGTCATTTTGTTAACTGAAACAAGCCAGACACAGAAAGATATCACATGTTCTCACTCATATGTGGAAGCTAAAAAAAAAAAATGTGGATCGTACAAAGGTACAGATTAGAATGGTAATTACCACAGGCTGAGAAGGGAAGGAGGAATGGGGCATAAAGAGAAGTTGATTAATGGGGACTAAAATACAATTAGATGGAAGAAATAAGTTCTTCTATTCAATAGCACAGTAGGGAAATTATAGTCAATGATTTATTGTATATTTCAAAATGGCTAGAAAAGATGAATTATAATATTCCCAACAGAAAAATGTTTGAAGTGATGGATATTCCAATTACCTGTATTTGATCATTGCACATTGTATGCATGTATCAAAATATTACATGTACCCCCAAAACATGTATAACTATGATATATCAATAAAAAATAAAATATAATTTAAAATTTTAAAAATAACAATAAAAAACTCTTTCTAATGGAAATTGCTATAGGAAACATGTTAATGAGAATAATAGCTTGAATTGAGAAGAAAACATTATTAAAACTAGTTTCTTTCTTTCTTTCTTTCTTTTTTTTTTTTGAGATGGAGTCTTGCTCTATTGCCTAGGCTGGAGTGCAGTGGCAAGATTTCGGCTCAATGCAACCTCCACCTCCTGTGTTCAAGAGATTCTTGTGCCTCAGCCTCCCAAGTAGCTGGGATTACAGGCACCCACCCACCACGCCATGCTAATTTTTGTGTTTTTAGTAGAGACAGGGTTTTACCATATTGGCCAGGCTAGTCTCAAACTCCTGACCTCACGTGATCCACCCCCCTCAGCCTCCCAAAGTGCTGGGATTACAGGTGCAAGCCACTGTGCCCAGAGCTGCATAGCTGGAAAGAAAATTTTAAAAGCCATAAACAAACAAAAAGCATTTGAAGCATTGGAGTTTATACAGTCCTATTAAAGAAAGAATATTGGATACATAGGTTAGATACAAAACTGGTTAACATGCTACAGGGCAATTAACCCTAATCTTTGAGGTTATCTTTTCTACTGGATGGGAATCATTTGCATCTACACAATTCTGCAGGCTAACATGTAACTTCAGAGTTTGAGCCCTCAGTTAATAGTAAACAGGATAGTCAAACAATATAGTACATTCTCCCAGAAGATTAATAATTGTTAGGCAAGCCTGTTAATATTTCAGCACAACATTGAAAGGACATACAAATATCTTCTTGGCCTTATTTCCAGGCTTTGGATAGTTTTCCTTATTATATGTCAGGTCACCCTTAACAGCCATAGCAGCTTGTCAAGGGCACAGCCCAGGGATACCGAACAGATCCTTCAGTGTCAGGCAGGTGGGGAGAAGGTGCTGAACGCGGAGGTAGAACACCAAGGGAAAAGGGCCACACTTTCTAGTTCTCTATATAGGAAGACCAGTTCCTGGTTAATCAGATAGTCTGCCTGCCTGCCCGCCTGGCTGCTTCCTAGGTACCCACAGTTCTCCAAAAACAGGCCCCAAGGAATGTAACCCCTTCTCTGAACTCTATTGCTCTGTCTTTTGCTCATGGCCCTTTCTGCCTGTGACCTCTGGATATTTTAGAATGCACAAATGTGTTGTCATTTTCAGAGTATTTGCTTTTCTTTCACTTCCTGTAGCCTCTACTATGTCCACCAAGTGTGTAGCACACAGCAGATGCTAACGGGCACGGTGCACTGCACATCTCTTTCCTTATCAAAGGCACATACGGACCCTCCATTCTTCAGACATGCGCTCAACATCCCCCTTCTACATTTCCTCCCACATAGACTGTGATCTCTCTCTCCGCTCATCTCCACCCACTATGATCCTACCCACACTTTCAGACACAGCTCTGATGCCACCCTCTCCAAGGGAGTTTCTTCTCCCTACTGGCATGTGTCTCCCTATTCCTAAGCAGTTTTTCTCTGTATTGGGGCCTCCTTTTTACCCTGCCATGGCCCACGGGTATTTACACTTCACATTGCCCAGGGTAGTGGGCTCCCAAAGACAAGAACCTGGTCTTCATCACCTCTGTCTGTGTCCAAGGCACCTAGTGATGCTAAGCACATGTTCTCTGGCTCAGGCAATGGCAAAGTGAGCTCAGGGGTGGCTTTTTCTGCCTTCAGCAGCAAATTCTGTCTTGTTTGCTGTTGGCAGCACTTCAGGGCCCATCACCTGCAGGAGTCAGACCTCAAAGGTGCTGAGCAGGGGACATATGGCGCTTGTCCTCTCCCGACTAAGGGAGTCCTTGGTGAATGGCTGATCTCAGCTGGAGCATGTCCCTTTCTGCTTAATCAGCTGTTCCTTACATTCTCTGCTGGTGGGAGGCGGGGTGGGGGGTGAGAGGGGGGTGGTAAGTGAGGCAGCTGCTGCCTTTGCTATGGCTATGATTCTGACCTGCAGCCACTGCAGGATCTGGAGCCGGGACCTGATGTCGAGGCCTAGAGTCCCTCAGTGCACACCCAGAGAGCCCAGTGGGTCGCATGAGCTTCTGCTGGGAAAAGGCCTGGCCTTTCCTGTGCAGGTGGATGCTCCAGGAGAAGGAGCAGAAGCTTCATAGCGGCAGAGAAACTCTAGATGCAAGCTGCTCAACTTGTGGTCCACGAACCACCAGCAAGGACACCAACACATGAAGCTTATTAGACACACAGAATCCAGGGTGTCATCCCAACCTCCGGAATCAGAACCTGCATTTTAGGGAGAGCTTCTAAGTCATGCGTATGCACATTAAAGTGTTAGAATCACTGGTCAGTTAATAGCCAGGCTCATTTGTAAGTGTCCAGCCCTACTGCTGCAAACCAGTATATGAATTTGCAACAGCTACAATTAAGCACATCGTTAATTCAACCTGGAATGCTCTAAGGCAATATAGCTGAGAGTTGGATGGTGTTTGATTGTTTTATAGCAAGAGACCAGAAATGCTCAAATGCTGCCTTATTTTTCACACACACAAAGTGACAAGTACAGAGTAGGAATGAATATACCATTTTATTAATAGCTGAGCCAGAACCCAGTAACCTCTTTGCAGAATGGTGGTAAAAGCTGGGTGGGCGTCCACAAGCCATACAGCCTCATCCTACACCTGAATCTCAGTCTCAGGCTGCATGGAAAAAGGAACCTGAGGGCAGAGCTCCCTGCCAGGGCTTGCCCTTGGGCTGACTCTCAGTCACCCTCCCTCACAGGCACAGCGATAGTGGGGAGAGACAGGCAGGAATGTGGGACTGAGCATGCGATGATCCTGCTCACCAGTAAAGGGAGAAGATGAATGTCTGGAAACTCTGACCAATCTGATAAGCAATGCCTTCTCCCTCAGGGCCACCAGGAAGGCCCAGCCAGAGGCAGCCCCGGCACAGCTGCAACAGGGAGGGTGTGGCAGTAGAAATCGGCTTCATAGGTCTTTCATGGCCGCAGCCCCTGTGCTGGCTGAATGCTGAGTCCTCAGTGGACATCTTGTCCTTATCTACTCACGTGTCCCTAAACACTTGCTTTTGAGATACTTTCCTTTTTTTAAATTGCTTTATTGAGGGAAATGTACATACTATAAAATTCACCCATTTTAAGTGCACAGTTTAGTGACTGTATCTATGATTGCTGATACAGTTTATTGTCAGGGTTGTGCAACATCCCCACCACCTAATTTCAGAACATTCCCATTACTCCAGGAAGGAACCGCATGCCCACTTCCTGTCACTGCCCCCTGAACCCCAACTCCCGGCAACTACAGATCCACTTTCTGTGTCTCTAGGCTGGACTTTCCTGAGTGTCCAGACGCTTTGGCGTTCAGGAACTTTCCTTATCTCGATTTCCTTATCCCTCTCATCTGCCGGTGTTTTCTCCTGTCAGGGGAAGGAGTGATTTAGAAATGCCGGGAAGTAGCACAGTGCCTGGCACATGGTAGTCACGCAATACATACTTTAGACTGATAAAAACCCGGGCTGCCATTTTAAGAGTATTTGCGTCTTGTAAGGGTGGAAAGGGGTGATCTCAAATGAATGAGCCCTTTAATGGGAGTATTTCAGACCCCGTAGCTCTCACAAACCCACACCACTGGGAAGAGTTTCCCCTGCCATGGGTGAGACTGGCATGCTCCTTGACTCTGAGGATGTCATGTCTTTTAGAACAAGGTGCTCCCTGTCCACAAAGTCTTCAGATTCAGAACCATTTCACCCCCAATCCCTGACTCCTTGCTTATCAGCACCTGCCCTGCCCTTTGACTCCCGGGGTCAACAGAGTCTCTCTCGCACTCTACAGGTTCCCACTTCTCCAGGATTTTGAGTCTGAGTTCCTGCCCATTTTCCCCAGCCTGCCAGGCCCTCTGATGTGGAATTTTATTGTGCAGATTGCCTGGCAAATCTTCCAGCCCTTTTCCAGGAACCCTCCTTCTTTTGGGCAGCACTTACCTTCCTGCAACAGTTATTAAGTAACTGTCTTTCTGCTTCAAATTAACCTGCTCTATCCTGCTCTGGGAGGTGGAGGCTGGAACTTCATGAGCAAATTTCTGCTTTCCCAGCTGCAAAGCTTTTCCTGCTGAGGCTCTGCACATAGGGGGCATTAGAGAGACGCAGAAAGGCAAGAGAAGGTGAAGGAATTTGCTGCTGCTTAGGGTTTTCTGTCTACTTGTGTTCTGAATTTTATTTTAAGCTCTATTGAGGTATAATTTACATACTGTAAATTCACTCCTTCTAAGCTTCTTAGTGTACCATTTAATAATGTTAGTATACTGACAGAGCTGTGCAACCATAGCTACAATCAGATCTTACACTATTTTCATCACTCCCTAAAGTAACTCTGTGCCAGCCTCATCCCCACCCTAGGTGACCATTAATCTACTTTCTGTCTCTGCAGTTTTGATTTTTCTGGACACTTCATTTAAATGGAAGCATACACTTCACTTGGTGTCCTGTTGCATATGACTTCTTTTACTTAGTGTGATATTTGTGAGGTCTATCTGTGTACTAGTATCAGTATTCTGTTCCTTTTTTTTTTTTAGATAGGGTCTCACTCTCTCACCCAGGCTGGAGTGCAGTGGCACCATCTCGGCTCACCGCAAGCTCTGCCTCCCAGGCTCAAGTGATTCTCCTGGCTCAGCCTCCCAAGTAGCTGGGATCACAGGCGCGTACCACTACTGCTGGGTTAATTTTGCATTTTTAGTAGAGATGTGGTTTCACCATGTTAGCCAGGCTGGTCTCGAACTCCTGACCTCAAATGATCCACCCACATCGGCCTCCCAAAGTGCTGGTGAGAGGTGACAGCGTGCTGGCAGTCCTCACAGCCCTCGCTCGCTCTCGGCGTCTCCTCTGCCTGGAAGCCCACTCTGGCCGCGCTTGAGGAGCCCTCCAGCCCACTGCTGCACTGTGGGAGCCCCTTTCTAGGCTGGCGAAGGCCGGAGCCAGCTCCCTCAGCTTGCAGGGAGGTGTGGAGGGAGAGGCGCGGGCGGGAACCGGTGCTGCGGGCGGCGCTTGCAGGCCAGCGCGAGTTCCGGGTGGGCGTGGGCTTAGCGGGCCCCGCACTCGGAGCGGCCGGCGGGCCGCAAGCCCCGGGCAGTGAGGGGCTTAGCACCTGGGCCAGCAGCAGCTGTGCTCAATTTCTCGCCTGGCCTTAGCTGCCTCCCCGCAGGCCGGGCTCGGGACCTGCAGCCCGCCATGCCTGAGCCTCCCCACACTCCGTGGGCTCCTGTGCCGCCCGAGCCTCCCCAACGAGCGCCGCCCCCTGCTCCACGGCGCCCAGTCCCATCGACCACCCAAGGGCTGAGGAGTGCGGGCGCACGGCACAGGACTGGCAGGCAGCTCCACCTGCGGCCCCAGTGCGGGATCCACTGGGTGAAGCCAGCTGGGCTCCTGAGTCTGGTGGGGACTTGGAGAACCTTTATGTCTAGCTAAGGGATTGTAAATATACCAATCAGCACCCTGTGTCTAGCTCAGGGTTTGTGAATGCACCAGTGGACACTCCTATCTAGCTACTCTGGTGGGGACTTGGAGAACCTTTGTGTCGACACCCTGTATCTACCTAATCTAGTGGGGACACGGAGAACTTTTGTGTCTAGCTCAGGGACTGTAAACGCACCAGTCAGCACCCTGTCAAAACAGACCACTTGGCTCTCTGTAAAATGGACCAATCAGCAGGATGTGGGTGCTACCAGATAAGAGGATAAAAGCAGGCTGCCCGAGCCAGCAGTGGCAACCCGCTCGGGTCCCCTTTCACACTTGCTCTTTGCAATAAATCTTGCTGCTGCACACTCTTTGGGTTCACACTACCTTTATGAGCTGTAACACTCACCGCGAAGGTCTGCAGCTTCACTCCTGAAGCCAGCAAAACCACGAACCCACCAGGAGGAACGAACAACTCCAGACGCGCCGCCTTAGGAGCTGTAACACTCACCGCGAAGGTCTGCAGCTTCACTCCTGAGCCAGTGAGACCACGAACCCACCAAAAGGAAGAAACTCCGAACACATCCGAACATCAGAACGAACAAACTCCGGGCACACCGGCTTTAAGAACTGTAACACTCACCTCGAGGGTAGGCGGCTTCATTCTTGAAGTTAGTGAGACCAAGAACCCACCAATTCCGGACACACTGGGATTACAGGTGTGAGCCATCAACCGTGCCTGGCCCCTTTTGGTTGTTGAATCATGGTCCATTGTATGGATGTAGCAGGTTTGTTTGACCCTCTGCGATAGTGCAGTCCTATGGCGGCAACTGAATTCAATTTGCAGTTTTCCTACCTCTTGTTGAATCAGCTTTATTGCATTCCCGTCAGAGATACGAACCAGCTGGCGCCTCTGGCACCTCTTTCTCAAAAACCTGGGTCCCCTCCTTTAAATTTCTAACTTTTAACTATTCCAACCTCTTCCCTTTTTCCCTCCAGCCCTGGGGTTAGCAGCTGTCTCAGGCAGCTGTTAACTCTGCCACCCATTCGAGTTCTCTTTTTACCTTTTCAGTCACTCGATTCACTATTTTACATATAATTCGAGATTCTTTATATTAGGCTTTCTGTGTTTAAATAACTACAGTGGTTTCTGTCCCTGGACTGTCCTAATGCTAGCCTGTGTTCTGAATTGAGCAAACAACTTCCATGACACTGCTGCCCTGGACCTGATTGGTTTAGAAGAGAGCATGTGAGTCAAGATGGACCAATCAGTGTCCTTCCTGGATTTTTTTTTTTTTTTTAAATGAAGCTTGGCAAGAGGAGGGAGGTGAGTAGTGCCTTTTCCCTCTCTGTTGGTGAAGCTGGGGTAATAGTGGATCTGGGAGCTGTCTGTGCCACGGTTCCAGCTGCCCAGGGGAAGGAGCCTTGAGAGCAAGGAGGGAAAACAAGAAACCCACAGGGGGTTTCTTCACAATACTGGAGTGCGGGTTCTGGTGGGTGGTCCCTGGAAGCCCCAACTCTGCCTTCCTGAGGTCTGGATGTGTGAGCTAATCTCTCTGTCTTCCTAATAAATGTCACATCCCTCACCCCACCCCATCCCAACTTAGCTGAGTTGGGTTTCTATCACTTGCAACCCAAGTATGCGAAATAACACACTGAGTATTGGATTTCTTACCCCTGGATTTGTTTCTCCATAACTTACATTTCTCCAAAGCCAGTTGACTGCCCACTGCTCTTTCTGGTCTATGTCCAGATGATAGAGGCCCACTGGGGCAAGGACTGAGTCAATGCCACAGGTATTTGAGCCCTAGAGTAAACCATGTGACCTGGTAGATAGGGGCGGTCTCTCATCCTGGCTGGTGGCTGGTACAAAGGGGGTGGCTGGCATGAGGAATCTCATCATTGGCTGGTGCAAGGGATCAAGTTGGAGCACAAGATCCAGTTTCCATCTTTAACCAGAGAGGCAGCGTGCAGCCCTGCAGGGGAGCCAGTGACATCGCCATGCAGCTAGGAAAGCTCTGTGGGAGGAACTCCTTTCCCTTGGGGGCTGCTGCTGTGCACACTCTGCTCTGATTGGCTCTGCACAAATCAGCGAGCCCTAATATGTCAATCTTTGCTATGATTAGTGCATCAGCTGGCACTGCTACCGCCACCCACCCATTGATCTGTAGGTTTTTACAGAGATGCAAATTAGGCAACCCAATGTGGTGGCCCTCTCCAGGAGGTGAGCGGCTCTTGTGTGCTATCTGTTGACAAGGGGCTGTGGCCAGAACTGGGAATTAGAGTCGTAATTCATATATTCATACACTCTCCGGTGCATTGCCAACTGCAGTGTCTCTCCTCTCTGGTACCTAATAATAACTGAGTTGCCATGCACTGAACACTTACCACCTGCTAGGGACTGTGCTAAGCATTTTCCTTGCATTTTAATCTTCACAACCCTGCGAGAGAGATAACCTTTTTAAAAATAAACTTTTAAATTTTAGAATAGCTTTAGATTTATAGAGCTATTACACAGATAGGTAGAGAGTTCCTATATGCCTCACACTCAGTTTCCTGTGTTATTAACATGTTAGTATGGTACATCTTTCACAATTGATGATTCAGTATTGATACTTTATTGGTTTTGTTTTGGTTTTTGGTTTTTCTTGAGACGGAGTCTTACTCTGTCGCCCAGGATGGAGTGAAGTGGTGCAATCTCAGCTCACTACAACCTCTGCCTCCCGGCTCAAGTGATTCTCTTGCCTCAGCCTCCTGAGTAGCTGGGATTACAGGCGCATGTCACCATGCCTGGCTAATTTTTGTATTTTTAGTAGAGACAGGTTTTCACCATGTTGGCCAGGCTGGTCTTGAACTCCCAACCTCCTCTGCTCACCTCGTCCCCCCAAAGTGCTGGGATTACACGCGTGAGCCCCCAGCCCGGCCTTGTTTGTTTTGTTTTGTTTGAGACAAGGTCTCACTCTGTCACCCAGGCTGGAGTGCAGTGGCACAATCACGGGTTACTCCACCTCCCAGGCTAAGAGATCCTCCTGCCTCAGCCTTCGGAGTAGCTGAGAATACAGGTGCACACCACCATGCCCAGATAATTTTTTTTTTTTTTTTGGAAAGGCTGGGTCCCACTATGTTTCCCAGGCTGGTCTCGAAGTCCTGGGCTCAAGCGGTCCTTTCACCTCAGCTTCCCAAAGTGTTGGGATTACAGGTGTGAGCCACCACGCCTTGCCAACATTTTTTTAACTAAAGTCCATACTTCATTCAGATTTCCTCCGTTTTTATATAATGTCCTTTTTCTGCTTCAGGATCCCATCTAAGATATTGCATTATATTTAAGCTCCTCTTGGCTGTGACAATTTCTCATACTTTCCTTATTTTGGGTGACCTCGACAGTTTGGAGGAGTACTGATCAGGATATTTTGTAGAATATCCCTTAATTGTAACTTGACTGTTATTTTTCTTGTGACTAGTTCGTGTATTTTTTAGGAAGGAGACCGCAGAGGTGAAATGCCATTTCCATCACGTCATATCAAGGGTACTTACTATTAAAACAGCGTATCACTGTTGATGTTGACCTTGACCACCTGGCTGAGGGAGCGTTTGTCAGATTTCTTCACTGTAATGTTTCTCTTTTCTAAAACCCCTTTCCATACTGACTCTTTGGAAGAAAGGGATTGTGTGCAGCCCGCCCTTAGGAAGCAGGGAGGTAAGCTCCACCTCTTTAAGAGCAGAGTATCGCCCCTTCCCTGAGGTGCTCTGGGGAATGGGGGGCAAGGGGAGGGAGAGCATTAGGACACATACCTAATGCATGTATGCATGTGGGGCTTCAAATCTAGATGACAGGTTGATGGGTGCAGCAAACCACCACAGCACATGTATACTTATGTAACAAACCTGCACGTTCTGCACATGTATTCCAGAACTTAAAGTATAATAATTTAAAAAGAGCAGAGTATCTATAGAAAATTACTTGGAATTCTCATGCATGGAAGATTTGTCCCTTCTCACCCATGTATTTATTCACCCAATCACTTACGTATGTCAATATGGGCTCATGGATATGTATTTTGTACTTTGGGTTATAATCGAATACTACTTTATTACTTTGTTCCTTAACCCTTTCCCCGTTTGCCTCGGGAATATTCGCTGGTGGTGCTTGCAGCTGCAGCGTTTACCTCGAGATAACTTTGCCACGAAATATCTCACTTTTATTATTATTTTCGGATCCCTCTAGTATATGGAATTGGGAAAGAAAAGACATCGTTCTACTGATACCATTCTGTTTTTAGTAGTGGTTTTTCCATTTACAAAATATAGTACTTCTCAATCACTGAAAATGTCAAATCCTAGGAAATACAGGATTCCTACATGTGAGGTTAATTAACATAGTTCTCGAACAGTTGTTGGCCGAAGATTCATTTGATGAATCCGATTTTTCTGAAATAGACAATTCTGATGATTCAGATAATTCTGATGTTAGTTCTGTTTAGAAATAACTCCAAGAACAGTTTTTCTGTTTTATTTTCATATTGAACATCAGTCAGATTTGCTTTAGCCTCAAAGAGCATGTTTATTTAAAATTAAATGAGCGCTGGCAGCGAGCTGCACTTTTTTTTCCTAAATGGGAAAAGGATTAAATTGTTCCAACTTTGGCCCTTTCAGCTCTCCCCTGTGTCCCTTTGGCAGATTCATGCCCCCCACCTACCGCCACCATCACCATCGCCACCTTTATTGGGGGTTAGATGTTTTGTTTTGTTTTTTAGTACCTTCTTACTTTCTGATACTCCAAGATGCACCAGGCTCATCTTTGATTGATTTATTTCTTTGTCTATTATTTTTAATTGACACATAATTATACATATGTATGGGGTGCAGTGTGATATTTCAGTACATGTGTAAATGTATAATGATCAAATCAGAGTAATTAGCAAATCCATCACCTCAAACACTTATCATTGCTTTGTGTGTTGGGAACATTCAAAGTCCTCTCTTCTAGCTATTTGAAAATATATAATAAATTATTTTTATTATAGTAACTCTAGTGCTATAGGACATTAAAACTTAGTCCTATCTAGGGTAATTTTGTGTCCTTTAACCAACCTCTGTGTCTCTCCTCCTCCCCCTTACCCTTACCAGCCTCTAGTAACCACTTTTTTACTCTTCACTTCTATGATACCAACTTGCTTTTTTATTTATTTATTTATTTATTTTTAGCTTTCCAGGCTTATCTTCCATTCTGCCCCAGCCCTAGAATCAGCTATTTCTCCCAAGGATCCTAGTTCCTTTTATTGGAGAACAGTACTAGAAACCAAGATCTGGGCACTAGGTATGCTCAAGTAGATAATATATTATCCCATCTTATAGAGAAGAAAGCTGCAGCCTTGAATAACTTGCCCAAAGTCACGTGGCTATTTTACTTCTAACTCTGCTCATTTCACTAGAAAGCATCATCTGTCTGCCTCTCTCTTCCTATTTATTAATCTCAAACTAAGCAAAATGTATCCGGGTTGCAGGAAGAGAGAAGACACTGTGCCCACACAATTCCTACTGCTTGTAAACTATAAAGCATTATAAACATATGATATCTATGTCTATATATATGCATATACATATAGCCATGTAGCTTTGTATTATTCTTTTACAAAAGAAAGTGTGTGTGTGTGTGTGTGTGTGTGTGTGTGCGCGTGTGTTCCTAGACACACATGCCATATGCAGTGAGCAACTACATCAATGGGAATTTGTCCAGGCTCCCTTGCGTTCATCCCCAAGTAGGACCACGGCACACACATGAGCTGAGTCAAGAGTTTCCTGAGCATCTCTGCCAGGCCTCCAGCAGCCCTGGAGCAAGACGGCAGGTCAGCACTGCTAACAGCACCAGCACCTGCCACCTGGCCTCCCTCTCCCACCTGGGCATGCCATCGGCAACCACAACCGAAGTATCAGAGGGAGGACTAAATTCTGGAAATTGCCATGACCTGGCCCGTAATGAAAAAAGATAGGAGACCTGAGAAATGAGATGCAGATCTGGCCAGAGGAAATAGGAGAACTGCAGGCCTACAGGTAGGGTTTGGGTCTCTGCTTCCTGTACCAACTCTGAGGACCGTCCAAGGTGGGCTGCCACCTATGTGCAACTTTGGAGTCCTGGGGCAATCCACCCCTCATCGCTGGTCCTTCCGGCCAGGCCTGGGCCTCTCCCAGTAGTCAGCTCCTTTCCATTCAGTACTTCTTTTACTTCTGATGCTTCTGGTGAATAAGCCCTGCAGTCTTTTCAGACACACTCAGACCCGGAGTAGCATTCCATCTCCCCAGCCTGGCTCTGCCCTTGCCGTGTAGGCAGTTTTGGGGTTTGGGTACTACAGTGGAGGGCCTGGGGGTGGGCAGCAATGGCTAATGCACAGGCAGACGCTTGGAGCCGAGAGCCCTGGGCTGCCTGTTGTGAACAATGACTGAGACCAAACACGACAAGGACAAGGAGGAATCAGGTTGGTGGTACCACAGATGCTTTTGTCCTTTCCGTAGTCCTCAAACTTTCTTATCATCTCATTGAGGAGAAAGCCCAACAAAAGTGCCATGAATTCATCAGTCATGGGGGAGATAGACTCATTTTCAAGTGAAGTCTTGGCAAGGATGAAACCGCCTTTGCAAAAATTATAACTGAGGAAATTATGACAGTGAAAGAGATCAGACCCAACCAACTCCATCTTGCTTCTAACCTTTAAGCTGTCCTTGTTCATTCCTGGGCAGAGGACGAACTAATCTTGTGAAGGAATTTAGTTCACGGTTTGACTCTGAAACAATATTGATAATAGCCCTTTCCCTAAAAGACCCCCTTCTTGTCTGGGGACAAGTCTGCCTTTACAGGATGAACAAACTAGCTACAAGATTAGAAATTACAGTTTAGGGGTCATGCAGCCTCTGGCTGCAAGAGTCTGAACCTCCCCAAATTGCTCCTGAGGATAACCTCACTATTGTAAAACCTAAGATCAGTGCTTGAGATATTTTGCAGACCCTGCACTGGATGGATCAGCTGACACCACCCACGCCTGGCCCAATTTTTGTATTTTTTTAGAGATGGGGGTCTCACTATGTTGCCCAGGCCAGTCTTGAACTCCTAGGCTCAAGCAATCCTCCCTTTTCAGCCTCCCAATGTGCTGGGATTACAGGCATAAGCCATCACCCCCAGCCATAATTTCTTTTACAGAAGTTTCTCAAATAAGTATCAGGCCCCCACAAAAGTTAGATCTGCCCTGGAGGGAGAATTCAGTAAAATTGTACTGAAGGAATAAAAGAATGAATCAGGCCGGGCCCGGTGGCTCACGCCTATAATCCCAGCACTTTGGGAGGGCGAGGTTGGTGGATCACAAAGTCAGGAGTTCAAGACCAGCCTGGCCAAGATGGTGAAACCCCGTCTCTACTAAAAATACAAAAATTAGCCAGGCATGGTGGCAGGAGCATGTAATCCCAGCTATTCAGGAGGCTGAGGCAGAGAATTGTCTGAGCCCAGGAGGTGAAGGTTGTAGTGAGCCAAGATTGTGCCACTGAACTCCAGCCTGGGTGACAGAGCGAGACTCCATCTCAAAAAGAAAAAAAGAATCAATGGATCAATCAAAAGTAATTAGAGTAAAATACAGGCATAAGGAAAATAGTATGTGCAAATACTCTCCTCAGCCTCCGGCTCTGCCTGGACTTTCGGAAGTTTGCTTGATGAGTCAGCTGTGTTGAGGGGAATCACCTACCTGCTGGCTTTGGCAGGTGCTTTGAGTTTTGGAAGCATTGGAGCCTCAGTCCACAGGATGCACAGGGATTGAAATTCACTGGAACTAGAAACAGCCTTTTCTTGGCTTCCCAGCTTGGCCTGCCAGCTTTCTTCTCACCTGCTAATTGAATGAGGTGGCTTGGAAGAGAGAAGTGTGGAGGGCTTGAGTTAACTCCCGCTCCCAAGCCCTTTTTTTTTTTTTTCCCCAGACAGGGCCTCTTGCTCTTTTGCCCAGGCTGGAGCACAGTGAAAACACAGCTTACTGCAGTCTTGACCTCCCAGGCTCAAGTGATCCTCTTGCCTTAGCCTCCGAGGTAGCTGGGACTATAGTCACGCACCATCACATCCAGCTAATTTTAAATTTTTTTGTAGAGATGGGGTCTCACTATGTTGCCCAAGCTGCTCTCGAACTCCTGGGCTCAAACAATCTGCCCGCTTAGGCTTCCCAAAGTGCCAGGATTACAGGCATGAGCCACTGCCGCTGGCCTCCCAGGCCCTTTTGACCCAATGGGGAAACAGTAGTTGAGAGTATCCTGGGCAAGTGTCAGTTTTCCTCTCTGAAAGGGATGAAGGCCCCACTGTTTTTTAATAGACTTTGTTTTTTAGAGTAGTTTTAGGTTCACTGCAAAAGTGAGAGGAAAGTGCAGAGAGTTCCCCTATCCTCTTACCCTCATCCATACAAGCCTCCCCCATTATCCACATCCCCCACCAGACTGGTACATATGTTAAAATTGATGGACCTACACTGGCACACCATTATCACCCAAAGTCTATGGTTCACACTGGAGTTCACTCCTGGTGTACACCCTATGAAGACCCCACTTTTTACAGGTTTGTTGTGAGAACTGGACTCTCTATCTGAAATTCCCTGGACTTAATTTGTGGCAGTTGTTAAACAATGCTCACTCCCCTCCCGGTTTTCCTTGGAACCTCCCAGTAGTAACCTAATTGAATAGGAAGTTTGATCCCATTAAAGAGTTGACTCAGCTTAGGGCTGGCATTGTCCAACTTGTGTCACTACTCTGAGAAATGGCCTTGTCTCCAGACCAAAACTCACCATAATGTGATCCTGAGGTGGGTCAGTCCATCCCCTATCCTTTGTCTCCTGTTTCAGTCTAAACAATGGAGAAGAAGCCCTGCTGTCTGCCCAGGGAACTCGTGATAATTGGTGCACTATACCTAAGTGTTTGTCACGTGGTTGCAAACACCACTGTTTCTTCAGGTGGAACACTGTTCTATAAGTTACAGCACTGAGGGATTCCACCAGTGTGGTTGGCAAGGGCTGGGCTTTAGTTTGAAGTTCATGGTGCCTCCTCTGTTATGCAAAGAACTTGGCCAGGGTCCTGAAGTGGGAAACGAGGAGAAGGCCAGAGGTCCAAGAGTTTTCTTTTTTGAGGCAGAGTCTTGCTGTGTCACCCAGGCTGGAGTGCAGTGGCGCGATCTCCGCTCACTGCAACCTCCGCCTCCCGGGTTCAAGTGATTCTCCTGCCTCAGCCTCCTGAGTAACTGGGATTACAGGCACGTGCCACCATGCCTGGCTAATTTTTGTATTTTTAGTAGAGACGGGGTTTCATCACGTTGGTCAGGCTGGTCTCGAACTCCTGACCTCATGATCCACCCGCCTTGGCCTCCCAAAGTGCTGAGATTACAGGTATGAGCCAC
Source organism: Homo sapiens (assembly GCF_000001405.40). Taxonomy (NCBI): domain Eukaryota; kingdom Metazoa; phylum Chordata; class Mammalia; order Primates; family Hominidae; genus Homo; species Homo sapiens. The sequence continues at coordinate 71,177,394 of NC_000014.9, forward strand.
TGCCCCCAGACAGGTCCAAGAGTTTTCTAATCATCATGAGACCAAATGGGGCAGACACTGCCAGCTGTTCACCAAAACCCATTTCAACCTTCTCTAATATTAGGGCTACAATTCCTAGCCTTCCTGTGGAGAGCTGTGGCCATATGACCAAGTTCTAACCAACTGTATTGGAGGAAGTTGTGGGTGTCACTTCCAGGCATGGCTCAGGAAACATTGCTCAGTGCTTCTCCCTTGAGCTTCTTTCTCCTTTGGACTGACTGGAGCCAGGCCTTGATGGCCCATCTTTGACCATGCAGATGATGATAATGACCTGTACATGGCAAAACCATCTGCTACCATAGATGACTCTATGGAGTAGAGCTCACCTATCCATCTTGGACTGATTTGTGGGAGAGAAATAAACTCCCTTGTTTGAGTCCTTGCATTTTATAATGCTAACATTGAGATATCATTTACACATGGTGAAATACACAAATCTTAAGTGTACAGTTTGGTGGATTTTAGCAAAAGTATACACCCCTATAACCACCAGCCTAAACACTACATAAAATACTCCCATCTTCCCTGTAAGTTCTCTCATTACCCTTTCTAGGCCATCCCTACCTCTGTCCCCACCCCCAGGTAAACACTGTTCTGATTTCTCTCAACTTAGTTTTGCCGATTTTTGAACTTCATATAAATGGAACCACAGAGTACGAACTCTTCTGTATCTGGCTTCTCTCATTCAACATAATGTTTTTGAGACTGAACCATGTTGTTAAATGTTTTCAGGAATTTTCTTGTTTATTGCTGAGTAAAATTCCCATGTATGAATATACCAAAAATTGTTTATCCATTCTCTTATTGATGGACATCTGGATTGTTTCTTCTTCTTGGCTCTTACGAATAAAGTGGCTACAAGCAGGCTTTAAACAATTCTTTTTGTAGACTTTTTTTTTCTTTTTTTTTGAAACGGAGTCTCACTCTGTCACCCAGGCTGCAGTGCAGTGGCGTGATCTTGGCTCACTGCAACCTCCGCCTCCCGGGTTCAAGCGATTCTCCTGCCTTAGCCTCCCGAGTAGCTGGGACTACAGCGCCGGCCACCAAGCCCAGCTAATATTTGTATTTTCAGTAGAGACGGGGTTTCACCATATTGGCCAGGCTGGTCTCGAACTCCTGACCTTGTGATCCGCCCATCTTGGCCTCCCAAAGTGCCGGGATTACAGGCATGAGCCACCGCGCCCAGTCTGACTTACTTTTTTTTTAATCTCTCTTGGATAGATACCTGAGAGTAGAACTGTTGGGTCACAGCTGAGAAGCATATTAAACTTAATTAGAAACTGTGATACAGTTTTCCAAACATTCCTGTCAGCATGTGTGGGTGTGCCATTTGCTCCACATCCTTGCTAACAAAAATCCTTTTCAATTTTAGCCATTCAGTGCAGTGGCAGAGAGCCATCGCATTTTGCATTTTTAGGATTTTTTTTTTTTTTTGAGACAGTGTCTCACTCTGTCAACCGGTGTGAAGTGCAGTGATCATGGCTCACTGTAATCTTGAACTTCTGGGCTCAAGAGATCCTCCTGTCTCAGCCTCCAGAGCTGCTAGGACTGCAGGCACATGCCACTGCACCCAGCTAACTTAATTTTTTTTTTTTTTTTTTTTTTTTTTGTAGAGACGGAGTCTTGATATGTCACCCAGGCTGGTCTTGAGCTCCTGGCCTCAAGCAATCCTCTTGCCTTGACCTCCCAAAGTGCTGGGATTGCAGGCATGAGTCACCACACCTGGCCCATCTTTAGGACTTTGTTTTTAACAGCAGTTTCACAGTTATCCTAACACACGCAAGGTAGACGTGGGAAGAAGGAGGAATGGTATGTGCTTGAAGCTCAGTGGTCATGTTTGTTCCTACACAGCCTGGCTGCGGGCCTCATGAGGAGGCCTTGGCAGGTAATACTGGTTAATTATCTAATAAAGCAAAGGCAGACGGGGTCAGACAGACCTCAGTATAAATTCCAGATCTCCCAAGCCACTAGACCGTGACAAGTCACCTATCCCCTCTGTGTTGGGTTCCCTCCATGTAAAAGGAAGATAATAATGAATGTACCTCGTGGTGTTATTCCAAGGCTTTAGTAACATGCTGCACAGGGGCACTTGGCATGCTAGAGGCTGGGCACCAGTCACAGCTTGGATTCTAGGGCAGGACTCCTGTTCCTGGAGGGTGAGCAAGGGAGATGCAGAGCCCCAACCTCTGGACCCTCATTCTTGACCTTTCAGTGGGTTTGGATTAAGAGAATCCTGTCCACCAGCACAGCACTGCATCCTTGGGACTGACTTTTCATACAAAGCTGGTGGAAGTTCATGAGGTGAGTTGGAAGTTGACCCAACATGAGCTATGGCACCAGAAGTTCTGATACAAGTGAGGCTCGGAGTGACCAAAAGAAGTCCCCATTGGAGTTGGGCTGGTGGCAGGAAGCAAGGGGGATCACCCATGAAGGAGGTCCAGGAATCCAGGTAGGAGACAGCAAGTGGTTTACTTGGGTGGTCTGGTGATGTTGCTTTAGGGAACACCATGCTTTTTGGAGACATGGGAAGGATCTAGATGTCTAACACTAGGAATTTGGTTAAATAAGTGATTTGTGTGTGGGTGTACTACTTTGAAGTCATGAAAATGATGCTGAAGGTGGGTGTTAATGTATTGGGAAAGATAATCACCATTTTTTTTACACCATTAAGGGATAAAGATATATACCTTACATACCTTTATACGTTAGCAATTTGCTTTGTTCCTTAACAAGGGGTGGTCCTTTTTTAGTTAAAACTCAGATGCACACCACACACACACACACACACACGAATGGCTGGAAGAATACACTCCAGGGCCCCTGTGGCTATCTCTGGGTAATAAGATAATATAAATGATCTTGCTTTTTCTTTCTTCGTGATTATCTGTATTTTCTCAATTCTAACATGCATGAATTTTGTAGTTAGAAATTCGAGTTGGCATTTCACACTACAGGGTATTTAGACCTGCTCATGGCAAAGGAGGCAGTTTTTAAAGGAAAGGAAATGCACAGTGAAATGGAATTATGCACCCAAATCATTTCTCTTCATTATTAGAGGTGAATGTGTTTGTCACTGCTAAGCTGTTAAAGATGACACTCACTTCAGACTGTGAAGAACATGGATGAATAACCTGGAAGTGATCCAGGCATCCCTCCTCACAGGACGGTGTGAGGTTGGAGCTCAGTAAGGCTCAGGCAGGGCCAGAGTAGACGTCAGGGCCTTACATGCCAGCTTGCACATGATGGTGATGTCTGTGGGGTTAGTTGTCCATTTTCTCTTCATGTGAGGGTTCTGTGGCTGAAAGGATGGGGCCGATTCTCAGACAGCCCCAGAGCACAGGAGAGGCCGGAAGGCTCGCAGGCAGGCATAAAGGTGGTGCATGTAATGCCTTCCAGAATGCCTATGTACCCAGGAGCAGCTCCAGGGGAATATCAGAGCTGAAAACTGGGTCAATAAGTGCTTGCTTTTGTTTTAAATCAAAGCAAGTGGATTTTGTATGCTCTGTGTACAAAGAGATTGTTTTTGGTAAAGAAATTAGAAAATGTTGATAAGTTGCTGTTTTAGAGATGAAGAGTCATGGAACCTTTGCACTGAAAGGAACCTAGGAGAGCATCTAGCCCAACACTCCCGTTTCACAGAAGACTCACCAGAGGCTCAGAGATGTTAAGAGATTTCTCAAGGTCATGTGTAGTTGGTGGTAAATCAGGGCTGCAATCCAATTCCATGACTTCAAGTTTGTCATTCCTCCTGGCTTCCCCACTGGTATCAGCTAAGAAGTTTAAAATACAAACTATGTTAATGAGAAAAGTGACGTTCCTAGCCCAACTGAAAGTCCACAGGACGGTGGCCCCTAAGTGTTGTAAGACGGCAGCTCAGCGAGACCTCTGAGGTCCCGGGTTCGTTCACCCCCTCACTGTGCCTTAGTTTCATCCTCAGGCTAGTCCCCCGCATGGTCACACGTGCATCGCGGACTTCCCCTGCCGCCTCCATTTAGGTCACGTGCTTACCCCTAGACCAATAACGGCTACCAGGGAAGACCACGCTCTGATGCACTTACCCTGACCACCTCCCACCTCCTGAGCTGGGGCTGGGTCTGCAGGGGGGCAGATACCTGAACAAAACTGGAGTTTTGATAACAACAAAGAAAATACAATTTTACTTAAAGTGATCCAAGGGGACACTGAGTCAGCCATTCATGAAGCTGAACATCATTTCAAGGGACGCTGGCTCCGGTATCATGGTGAACGCCAAGGTGAAGAGCAGCCGCATGAGATCCCAAAGGAAAGCCCGGGAGTCACACAAGTGGAGTACAGCAGCAAACCCCCTCCACCGCCTGCCCTTGGCTTTGGTCTTGCCAGGGAACAGCTGATGCCGACTAGATGACGCAACCAGGAAGTGAATATCCTGTCTGCTCCTTGTTCTGTGCTGTCTGTGTGTCCTAGCTTGCCATCCCAAATCAAGGCATCCCTTGAAATCCCCTGGGTCCAAGCATCCAGATGCTCAGTGAACGCAGTGCTCTAACTCCATCTTCCACTTTCCATTAAGAAGTCAATGACTCTTATTCAATACAACTCCATCTTCTGCTAACCCCTAAAAGGAATTTACATTCTGCTCATTTCACTTCCCATTATATTGTATTAATTTTCCCATCATTAAACCTTTTAAACCCAATATTTTCAATGTTTCAATATATTCCATTGAGTTAATAATAGATCTCTACTCTTGCAAAAAGCATTTCTACATTTCAGGGCATTTATTTAGACTGTTTCCAAACTTTCCTTTTCATAAACAAATGCTGCCACTCATATTCTTATATCTAAATTTTTATCCTATATCTCTGATATCATTGAGCTATATTTCTAGAAGTGTCTTTCTAGTATGAAGTATAGGAACATTTTCATAAATATTGTTAAATTTCTTTCCATATTTTGGAAGACCATCATTAGAAGGATACCTGTTACACTGCACACTTGCCAACATTGTAAACCATTGGTCTTTGATCACTGATGCTTTCATGGGTCCCAAATTCTTTTTTCCAAAATGCCATTTTAGTGAAAGCTCTTATAATTGGCTTATGCCTTTTGTTTTGTTATTCCAAGTGATACATGATACTCTCAGAAGGCTCTCTCCTCTGATTTTCCAACACCCTTTCCCTTCCTCTCGTAAACACACCCTGTTTAGGCTGCAAGTGGTGGAGTCCCTGGAAGCCCACACTTGGAAATCAGCCCAGCACATTTCTAGGGAGCAAGTTTTTCTGAGAACAGTAATTCCAGCAAGCTGAAACTTATTGAGCGTCCTCCGCCTGAGGAAGACACAGTTATCCAGTTGAGTTGGTGTCTTGGGGCCCACACACCTGGGAGGCAGGTAGGTGCCCACGGCGGGGCTGCAGGAGGCCAGGACAAGCAGTGCTGGGAGATGCTTAGTGTGATAGATGCTTACAAAGACCAGGGAACTGAAGGTCAAAGGCAGGAATATGGGCGTGAATGAAGCCACAAAGCTACTTCCCAGAACAATTAGGTTGTTGCTGAGAATGATAATAATAATGCAATAATTATGATTTACCGTTTACTATTTGCCAGGCATTTTATGTATGTTATTTTGCTTCTTTCCTACAGCAACTCCAGGGGATTTATACTATTTATGTCTCCATTTTGCAGAGATGTGAAATAATGTTCCTAATGCCACCCAGCAAGTTAGGGGCAGAGGGAAGTTTGAGCCTTGGCCGCCTGGGCCTGTCGTTCCCACTGTGCCCCTCCTGAGGCGGGAGCCCAGGCAGATGGCTGAATGAGCTGTGGTGAGTGGCAGGCACAGAAGCCACCATCAGGGTTTCTCTGTGAAAAGTGTGTGGGGCTGAGCCCTCCCACAGAATGCTTCAGGGTGGACCTGGACCATGTGGGGTTTACAAGGATCAAGTTCTGCTAATTAACATCTGTCATGTGAAGCCACAGTACCCCACGCTGGGCTGGGTGCAAAACATGGGCCTTGCCCTCTGAGGAGTTTACTCTCTAATAGGGAAGAGGAGAAAGTCCACAGACACCTAGAGGCACCAAAAGACTCTTGGAGATTTGCGAAGAAAGTGCTAAGACGAGTCGGGCGCAGTGGCTCACGCCTGTAATCCCAGCACTTTGGGAGGCTGAGGTGGGCGGATCACAAGGTCAGGAGTTTGGGACCAGCCTGACCAACATGGTGAAACCCCATCTCTACTGAACATACAAAAATTAGCCAGGCGTGGTGGTGCATGCCTGTAATCCCAGCTACTCAGGAGGCTGAGGCAGGAGAATCGCTTGAACCCAGGAGGCGGAGGTTGCAGTGAGCCGAGATTGCGACACTGTACTCCAGCATTGGTGACAGAGTCAGACTCCATCTCAAAAAAAAAAAAAAAAAAGAAAAGAAAGTGCTAAGACGGGCGTCATAGGGAGTCAGGGAGGTCCTGAAAGAAGGTGGCATTTGAGAAACTGAAGAAGAGCTGGGGTGGTTTCGACGGGCAGAAAAGGTGGTGAAGACATGCCTATCAGCTTATCTGTAGCCTGGGAAGGCTACGAGGAAAGCCAGCAACGCTTAATTGCTCCAGGACTAAGTGCTGAAGGGGCCTTTTAAAGCCTGGATCTGAGAGATCACTCTTTTGAGTCTCCAACTGGGAACAGTGACTAGTTAAACTATCAGTCAAGAAGCTGCCAGCACTTCACTTGGACTGAAAAGCAATTCCCAGTGGAGCCCTTGTGGGCCCAGGGAGATGGGCTTCACAAAATCTCTCCCACCTGTGGGTCACCAGGCTGGCTCTGTTCCCATGCAATAGGTTGTTGGGAAAATGGTCCTTGCCAGAGTGGCAGATGGCCCTTTTATCAGGACTAGTACTTCAGCTGCCAGACTGATTTCTTTTTAAGGTTTATTTTTATTAAAAGCTAAGTGAAGCAGTCTGAGGCAGCGCTGTGCAATAGAACTTTCTGTGATGGTGGAAATGTTCTAGGCTGTGTTCAGTGTGGCAGTCACTAGTCACATGGAGCTATGCAGCAGCTGAAATGTGACATATGCCACCGAGATAATGAATTTTTCATTTCACTTAATTTTAATTCATGTATGCTAGTGGCTACTGTATTGGACAGTGTAGGGCTGAGTGATCTTGGGATGAAACGAAGAATCATGCAAATTTGCCAACAAATTTGCAGAAACAGCTTCTCTAGTCACATGTGATGTTTACAGGGTCCTGGTCATACAGAGTAGGAGAATCTTACACCATGTTTCAAAAGGGGACATGCAAACATGTATTCCCCTGTCTAATTAATAGGTATGCTATTCTATAGACCCTGTATGCTAGTAATCAGATGCAGGGGTGACCAGCCAACTTGGGTGTGCAAAGTATAGAACAGAAAAGAAAAGAAATGCTTTGAGATCTGTAACTAAAAATTTCAAGATGTTGCTTTTGATAATTGTGTTGTTGTTGTTACTGTCCTAAAGACAGCTATATTTTCCCCCTTTGATCACAGACCATCGAGTTTCATCTTTCTTTTTTGTGGGGCAGGGGAATAAAAAATTCCTTTTTTTCTTTTTCTTTTTTTTTTTTTTTTTGGAATACAGGGTCTTGCTCTGTCACCCAGGCTGGACTGCGGTGGTGTGATCTTGGCTCACTGCAACCTCTGCCTTCTGGGTTCAAGAGATTCTCCTGCCTCAGCCTCTCAAGTAGCTGGGATTACAGGTGCATGCTACCACACTCGGCTAATTTTTGTATTTTTAGTAGAGATGGGGTTTTGCCTGTTGGTCACGCCGGTCTCGAACTCCTGACCTCAGGTAATCCACCCGCCTCAGCGTCCCAAAGGGCTGGGATTACAGGCATAAGCCATTGTGCCCAGCCAAGAATTCCTTTCTTAGTGGGCATAATAATAGCTAGTCTTCATTGAGTGCCTACTGTGTGCCACATGCCCTACATATGTGTATCTTTTATACTCACATAAACACCCAACAATGGGTATTACTGAGACGATTTGCATTTGAGAAAACTGAAGCCAAGAGGAGGTAAGCAATCATGAGTGCTAAAGTTCCAAATTATGTATTCTTTATGTTGAGTCCATCTTTTAGAACACAAGAAAGTAACCCCCCTGTAAGCCAGAGGTGGTAAAATCCTTAGAAGCCTGCACTCAGAAATCAGCCCAGCTTATTTCTAGGGAGCTAGTTTTTCTGAGAATTCCAGCCAGCCAATTCTGGAATCTCCGACACCTTAAATTTCCAAATACAAAAAGTAGCTTGACCTGCACTTCACATAGTAATCACAGGACTGTAAATGATCAGAGCAGGATGGGAACTTGGAGATCTTCTTGTCAAAATACTTATTTTACAGATGAGACTCTGAAGCCAGTGTTTACTATTTGCCAGGCACCACTGACCAGCACCACTGACCAGCAAGTTAGCCTCAGGGGAAGGGGATGGGGCGGGCCAGTTACTTGTAATAACTTATGTTGAATCTACCATTTGATTGAGTTCCAGAGTGTAGTCACAGTTAACTGTGCAACCCAAAGTAGTTTCAAAACCCTTGGGAAAACTCCCCCATTACCTCCAAATCTTCCTAATTCTATTCTTATTCTCTTTCCCCCTCATTCCATAAGATTTTTATTATATACGTTGACATAATTTCTTCCCTAATTCCCCCATCTGTCTAATTTGCTCCTTTTTGCCCTTTACAAAAAACCAAGAAAACCATATTGTCTGGGCAGATTCTTTCTTTGAAGAGCTGGGGGTCAGGAAAAGGCGAGAGAATGAAAACTCTGGCTGGCAAAGCTAGAGCCCTCTGGATCGCTCAGGGTGTGGGCCCAGGCTGAGAACATTCACATGAGCAATTTCCATCCCATCTCAGTACAAAACACAAATGTGACATGTGACTAGGGAAGAACAAGAAGTCAGCTATACCTTGCTGTGGTCAGCAGTTAGCGGCCAACCCAATAAGCCATTCCTTCACACCTTTTTCTTGCTAATAAAACCTTGATTTGATTTGAGTAACAGTGACAGATTCAGATGATGAAACATTACTTGTCTAAGCTAATCATGACTAGCTTGCTCCCTTTCACCAGCTACTTGATTTACCAAGCTCCGTTGCAGCTGGTGGTGGCGATGAGGTCTGGTTTGGCCCAGGACACTGGCAGACAAAATAATGGCATCCCCAGGATGTCTGCATCCTAATCTTCAGAACCTAAGACTATGTTAGTTACATAGCAAGGAGGAATTAAGGTTGTAGATGGAATTAAGTTTGCTAATCAGCCAAAAGGAAAATAGGGAGATTATCCTGGTGGGCCCAGTATAATCACAAAGGTCCTGAAATATTGAAGAGAGAGGCGGAAGAGACGGTGTCAGAGAGATGCAGCATGGGGAAGGCTCAACCAGCCATTGATGGCTTCGGAGATGGAAGGGGTCATGAGCCAAGGAATGCAGGAAGCCTCTAAAAGCTAGAAAAGGAGGCTGGGCCTGGTGGCTCACACCTTGTAATCCTAGCAGTTTGGGAGGCTGAGGCAGGCGGATCACAAGGTCAGAAGTTCAAGACCAGCCTGGCCAATATGGTGAAACCCCGTCTCTACTAAAAACAGAAAAAAATTAGCTGGGTGTGGTGGCACACACCTGTAATCCCAGCTACTCAGAAGGCTGAGGCAGGAGAATTGCTTGAACCTGGGAGGCAGAGGTTGCAGTGAGCCGAGATCGCACCATTGCACTCCAGCCCAGGCGACAGTGAGAGACTTCATCTCAAAAAAAAAAAAAAAAAAAAAAAGCTGGAAAAGGCAAGCAAATGGATTCTCCTCCCTAGAGCCTCTAGAAGGAACATCGTCAGCTGACACCTTGATATTAGCCCTGTAAAACCCGTTTGGGATGTTGACCTCCAGAACTAGAAGATAATACATTTGGATTGTTTTGAGCCAATAAGTTTGTTACAATTTGTTACAGCAGCAGTAAGAAACTAACACAGGCAAATAAGGGAAATTCTGCAGGAGGCCTCTCTAAGCCTTGCTTTTCTGTTAAAAGGAGAAAACGTGGCTGGTGCCTCCCTTTCCTTTATTCTTCCTGACTTGAAAATGGACGTGATGACAGGGGCTGTGGCAGCCCTCTTGCAACTACTAAGCCACAAGCATGAGGATGAAAAACTGTATACCAAGGATAATTGAGAGGAAAGAAAGAAAAAACCTGGGAATTTCATTACACTGTTGAGTTACTAAAATCATCCTAGAACTGTGGACTTCTAGGCTCCTTGTTATGTTAGAACAGTAAGTCCTGCGGGTTTAAGTCCTGTGAATTGGATCTTATGTTACTCGCACAGTTTATCAGGGTTCTTACTGTATAGAAAATGGGCATGAGCCAAAAAAAGAAAAAGAAGGAAATTGTGTGACTTAACTTGCAGGGCACAAAAGGGGGTGGGGGCCATGGGACCATAAATAGCTCGCATTCCTAAGGCCTTAGGCAAAGCTAGACTGACTCGAGCTCTCAGCCCCTCCTCGAAAAGCCTAATTTCTTCATCTGGGGTCTGCAGAGGAAGTGGGGCTTCCAGCAACTCTCACACCTGAGGAGGCAGCCAGACTTCCCCGGGCAGGTCCTGAAAGGTGGACTCCTGCCACCTGACCACAACTTGAGGCTGGAGACTGAGTTATAAGGGATCCTCTAATCCCCCCTGAAAATTCAGAGAAACAGGACTAGCACGTCACCCCGCAGCTTCTCCAGAGGCTGCAGGGGAGGGAAGGCAGTGTCCTCCTCTCTCCAGTCGGGGCAGGGAGCTGCCAGCATATTCTCTGAGGCAGTGAAGCCCAAGATCCTGTTGTTGAACAAGATAAGTTTCTTTACCTTGCGCCAGGCAACGCTCTGCAACCCAGACACTGATGACCTTTGCAATGCTCTTCATCCCAGACACTGATGACCTTCCTCTGCAGAGCAGTGTGCAGTGAAGGGAGCTGGGGGGTGGTGAGGTATGCGGGGAATGGCAGCATTAAGGGGCCTTGAGTGGAGCCCCAGGAACCGGCTTCAGATGTTTCTCAGAATTTTATTTACCTCTCTCAGCCCTCAGATCCTGCTGGAACTCCGGATAAAGAGGAGCTGGTGCTGAAGTCAGGGATCTGAAATAACAACAGCTGAGGAAGATCCATGCTGAGCGCCCGATGGAGGGTCTCTATAGTCAGTTTCCCCACCCTCAGCCACTGCATATAACCTAGGGTGCAGGGGAAGGTGGCAGAGGACCTGGATTTGGTGTCCTGAGTTCCTCCCTCCTGTCTAGGTGGCCTAAACCCACAGAGCTCATTCTTCATCTGTACTCCTCATCCAGGACATGCCATTCTTGTAGCAAAAGCAAAGGAGCAATGGCTGAACCACGTGCCGGTAACTGTGAGCTTCTGTGATTTCTTCACTCTGGATGAGCCGAAGCAAAGCGCATAGCCAGATCTGATGTCCACAGTGAGGGACGTGTATGTCTCCCACAGAGTGGGGCCCTGAATAGTTGGGAACAATATCATTTCGCATAGAAACTAATACATTTTTAAAATATGATGATCAAGTAAAATGCATCTATGGACTCCATTAGACCTGCAGGAGGCCACCAGGCACTGCTGGTATGGGAGTTAGGACTTGGAGTCAGAGAGAACTACACTCAAATCCCAGCTCTGCTGCCCACTAGCTTCGTGAACCAGGGTGGCCTCACAAACTTCCTGGGCCTCAGTCTCCCCTCTCTTTTTATTTTTTTGAGACGGAGTCTCACTCTGTCACCCAGGCTAGAGTGCAGTTGCGTGATCTGGCTCACTGCAACCTCCGCCTCCCGGGTTCAAGCGATTCTTCTGCCCCAGCCTCCTGAGTAGCTGAGATTACAGGCGCCTGTCACCACACCCAGCTAATTTTTGTATTTTTAGTAGAGACAGGGTTTCACCATGTTGGCCAGACTGGTCTTGAACTCAAGAACCTCAAATGATCTCCCTGCCTCAGCCTCCCAAAGTGCTGGGATTATAGGCATGAGCCACCACACCTGGCCTCCTCTCTCTTTTAAAGGGGCTATGAGAATACTTACCTCCTGGATGATGGGCACAGAGCACCAGGCACAGCACCAGCCCTGTGTGGAGTCTCAAGACAAGGAAGTTCCTCTTGATGTGGACATGGGCTCAGGGGCTGGAGCAGGATCCTTAAATTCACAGAATGCAAAGAGCAGACCCATGTGGAAAACAGATGGCGATTTCTCAAAAAGTTACACCTGGAGTTACTGTATGATCCAGCAATTCCATTTCTGGTTATATACCCAAAATAATGAAAGCAAGATCTCCAACAGATATTTGGATGTCCATGTTCATGGCAGCATTATCCACAATAGCCAAAAGGTGGAAGCAATCCAAATGGCTATCAGTGGATGAATGGATAAACAAAATTTGGTATATCCATATCATGGAATATTATTCAGTCTTAAAAAGGGAAGAAATTCTGACACATGCTCACCAAGGATGAACCCTAAGGACATTATGCTAAGTGAAATAGGCCAGTCATAGAAGGACAAATACTGTATGTTTTACTCATATGAGGCACCTAGAGTAGTTAAGTTCATAGAGACAGAAAGTGGAATGATGGTTATGAGCAGGTGGGGGAAAAGGAAGGGGGAGTTATTGTTTAATGGGTATGGTTTTAGTTTGGGAAGATGAAAAATTTTGGAGATGGTTGGTGGTGATAGTTGCACATTAGTGTGAATGTACTTAATGCCACTGAACTGTACACTTAAAAATTGTTAAAATGGTAAATTTATGTTATGTATATATTACCACAATTTTTTTAAAACACAGAACCGCACGTTTTAGGTACACGCCAGTCTCCAGATGGAAGCTGCCTAGTGCTGTCCAGTGCCTCCAGGTTTATGGGAGTTCGTGGCCACATCTCTCCCGTGGGATCCTGTGGGCTCCTGCAGGAAGCTACCTCTGGCAAATGTGGAAAACAGAGGTATAGAGGAGAGGTACTGGATGCAGAATTATGATGCCAAATGTGTCCTCCAACTTCCTCCAACTTGCTATGTTGCAATTCAGCAGCAAGCTTCTTTCCCGGCACTTCTCTCACACTTGTCCATTCATTCATTTATAAACAAATATTTACTGAGAGTGTACTAAAATGCCAGACTCTGTTCTAGCCTTTATAGTCAATTAAAAAAAAAAACAAAAAGGAAAATAATTCCTCCCCTCATTGAGTTTACATTGTAGTGGAAGAGAGAAACAAGAAACATAAAAGGATAGTTTGTTAAAAAGTAAGTGGCATAACTTATGTTAGTGTTATTGGGAAGAAATAGAGCAGTCACACTGGACTGAGAAGGCTGGGTGAGGAAGGTGCTTGCCATCTAAATAGAATGGTGAGGGCAAATCCAACAAGATGACTTTTGCGGGGTGGAGGGGGACATAATAGTTTTATTGGGATATAATACACATATGTGATGATTAATTTTATATGTCAACTTGACTGGGCAAAGGGTATCTGGACAGCTGTTAAAGCATTATTTCTGGTGTGTCAGTGAGGGTGTTTCTGAAAGAGATTAATTAGCATTTGAATAGGTAGATCCAGTAAAGAAGATCACCCTCACCGATCCCAGTGGCATCATCCCATCTTTTGAAGGCCTGGAAAGAACAAAAATGTGGAGAAAAGGAACATTTTCTTCCGGTTTGAGCTGAGACATCATCTTCTCTGGCCCTGAGACATCAGAGATCTTGCTTCTCAGGTTTTTGGACTCATGCCAGGACTCATACACATTATTAGCTCCCTAATTCACAGCCCTTCAGATTTAGACTGAATTACACCATCAGCGTTTCTGGGTCTTTAGCTATTAATAGCAGACAGCAGATCATGGGACTTCTTGGACTCCATAATTGAGTAGTCAATTCCTATAATAAATCTCTTCATATATGTGTGCGTATATATTCTATTGATTTTTGAGCTCTAGAGAACTCTGACTAATACTAAACTGTCTTAGTCCACTTTCTGCTGCTATCAGAGAGTACCATGGACTGGGTAATTTATAAAGAAAAGAGACTTATTTGACTTGTAGTTCTGGAGGCTGAAACATCCAAGAGCATGGTGCTGACCTCTGGTGAGAAGCTCCATGCAGCAGTATTCCATGCTGCAGTACCACAGGGTGTGCACGTGTGCATGCAGGACAATAAAAATGGGGGCTAAACCTATCCTTTTACCAGAAGCTGGCTCCTTGGAACCCTAACCCAGTCTTGCAATAACAGCATTAATTCATTCATGAAGGCAGGGCCCTCATGATCTAATCACCTCTCAAAGCTCCCACCCACCTCTTAATACCATCACAATGGCAATTACATTTTAAATTTCGAAATAAGTTCTGGAGGGGATATTTAAACCATAGCATATACCATTCACCTGTTTCAAGTATACAACTACATGTTTTTTAGTATACCCATAGATTTATGCAACCATTACCTCAATCAATTGTAGAACATTCTCATCACCCTGAAAAAAACTCTGTACCCATTAGCTGTCAATCCCCATTCCTGCCTCCCTCCAACCCTAGGCAACCACTGATCCATTGTCTGTGTCTCTAGATCTGTCAATTCTGGACATTTTATATAAATGGAATCCTGCAATATGTGGTCCTTTGTGTCTGGCTTCTGTAACTTAACATAATGTTTTCAACGTTCATGCATGTTGTAGTATGCATCAGGACTTCATTCCTTTATATGGCCAGATAGCATTTCATCATATGGATAGACCACATTTTGTGTATCCATTCACCTGTTGATGGACACTTGAGTTGCTTCCACCTTTTGGCCCTTGTGAACAGTGCTGCTGCGAACATGCATGGTCAAGATTATGTGGAGAGGGTGACTTTCATGCAAAGATGTGAAGAAAGAGATGGAACCAACTATGTACTGAAGTGTAAGGAACCAAAGTCGGGAGCCTGTGTAGTGTGTTTGAGGAAAAGTGAGGAATCTTCTGTGGCCCCAGTGTTGAGAATGAGGTGGAGGATGGAAGAGGAGGACTGAGAGGAGTGGGTAGCCAGATCACGGAAGGCCCTGGGAGCCACTGGGAGGATTTGGGCTTTTACTGGGGTAACATGAGAGCCATTGAAGGGTTTTGAGCAGGGAAATGACATAATCCGACTCATGTCCCATCTTCTTTTTTTCTTTTTTTCTTTTTTGAGATGGAGTCTCACTCTGTCCCCTCCAGCTGGAGTGTAGTGGCATGATCTTGGCCCACTGCAACCTCTGCCTCCCGGGTTCAAGTGATCCTCCCACCTCAGCCTCCCAAGTAACTGGGATTACAAGTGTGTACCATCACACTCAGCTAATTTTTGTATTTTTAGTAGAGACAGGGTTTCACCATGTTGGCCAGGCTGGTCTTGAACTCCTGACCTCAAGTGATCCACCTACCTTGGCCTCCCAAAGTGCTGGGATTAGAGGTGTGAGCCACCACGCCCGGCCCTAGTCTTCTATTTTACCTCAAACAGTTCTCAGAGGTGACAGGAAAGATGAGAAAACATTGCACAGGATGGAGAAAGAGAGGGGAGAAAAGTGCAGAAAGCCACTAAGGGGCCAAGAGTACCCAAAGGGCAAAGGAGAGGGCAAGTTGAGGGGTCGCACCACCTGAAGCCCATGAGGCTCGGCATGGCGAGTGCTGGGAGGAGCAGAAGGCAAGACTGGGCAGGTGCGAGTGGGACAGGCTTCCATGCACCTGTCCTCCTCCCGCAAACACTGGCATGTATTTATCCAGAACTCCCCTGAGAAACACATCCTTGTGACACCCCAAGGAGGGCAGGTGTTGCTGTGCTCTCAGGTGCTCCACTGCTCGTCATCTGCCCTCCCTCCCTCCAACTCCCTCAGCTCACTGTCATTGGGCTTTCAACCCAGTAACGCTACTGAAACAGCTGTTTTGATTACCGAAGATGTTCTAAACTGCCTAAATGCCCCCCTCTTCAGCCTACACAATCTCCCTATTTATGCCCCCAAGGGCTTTGCTACTGAAATGAGGACCAGGCACCAGCAGCATCAGTCTCAACAAGGGATCAGCCCCAGCCCCACGGAATCAATCTGCATCTTGGTGAGATGTCCCAGCTTCGCAGGTACAGTTTTATCTACCCATCTTTAGGGGAATGGCTCCTTCCTCCACTCTGTCAAATTAAGGAGTAAGGGCCACTCTCCTTTTACGTGATCCCAGGCCTCAGTGACTGTCAAGCAGTGTATGCCGTAGGGGTTCAGTCAGGATGGTGGAGAAAATTATAAAATAAAACACAAAAGTTTCTTGGAAGGGCAAAAGGTTTTTGCATAGCTTTAGATAGTTTGGCTGAAGGCAGCCTAATCCTCTTTAAGCTATAGCAAGGGTAATTAACATAGGAATGTAGAGGAGTCTACCTAAATAGCCTGTTTACTCATGTGGTTCTAAAACTAACCTCTGATCATTTGCAGGCAGGATGGCACTCTCTGGGAGAAGGCAACCAGGTTGATTACCCTCTAATGGTGTTTACTTGAGACGTTTGTCATCTAATGTGTGCTGAATAAATGCCAGGAGGGCCAGTGAGTCAGGGGCCATGACTGACAGCAGTCTCCTTAGAGTCTATAAGTGGCTGGGACTCTCAGCCAGACTGACAAGCATAATATCTGTGTCAGTGTATGTTATTCACCTGTCACTGAGTCAGGGTCTGCAGGACAGACCCCCACAGCACACAATTGCTCCACCCTGAATTTTTCTCCTTTGGTCTTCAGGCTGCCGAGGCCAGGTCCTAATGGCTGAGGAAGTCAGGTGGAAGTGTGTCCCTAAGGCTGGTCTATCAGTCAGCATTTCTTAGTTGCGTGCAGCCTTGTTATTTCCAGCCAAAGAAAATTTATTTGAAGGATGTCAGATTTTCAGAGAAATGATGGAAGTCTGAAGAGCCAAGCTTGGGAACAGGTGGGAATCCAGGCCACTTTAAGGCCTAAGATGCAAGATAGATAAGAATAATCACATAGTGGAACAGTTTATGCAGACAGAACCCTGAGAGGCAGGATGCTACCCTTCTGTCTTTGTCATTTCATTCTGTTCAAGATTCAAGTTGTAGAGACTCTGTTAGATTGGCCCAGCTGGAGGCACAAGCCTGATCCTTAGTTAGGGATGGGCCCCACCAGACTGCATCTCTCAGGGAAGAGTAAATGCCTCAAAAGGAAAACTGCATGCTGTTGAGAGGGGGACATCAACATTGGAAGGCTGCAAAACAAGTGCCACTTCAGCCAATATCACTATTCCACACCGGTTGAATTTCAAGCCAATAAATCCACTTGACATTGACATTATTGGAGTTGATTTTCACTCCCTTACAATAAAAGAGACCTGACTAATGTCTTGACCCTGTTTCTGCAGTGCCTTCCTCAGTATCAGGAATAGAGCACTCAGTTTTTCCCTTCTCCTTTGTCAACCACAACATCTTTGCCTCCTTCCTTGATTCTTCTTTCCTTCCTGAGAACTTATGCTTGTGCATGTCTCATGGTTTTCTTTTCAAGCCCTTTTCTCCTTTTATTTTACACCCTCTCCTTTTAAATATCAGTTATTTCCATGACTTTGTTGCTCATCTCCAATCTACCTCCCTCTTTCGCTGGAGACTTGTGTTTCGAAATATCTAATGGATGCTGACACACAGGTGACCTGACACATACCTCAATTTCAACATATTTACAACTGAATTCATCATTTTTTTCTCATAAACATCCTCTGCTTTTCATATTTCCAATTTTGAGTCCTGTATTTTCTCTGTTTATATCACCATCTTCCTCAACACGAGCTTTTGCAATTTAAAATCTCCTTGGGCTTTTTCTTCATGCCTGGTTCCCATTTTCAACCTATCACGAGGTATTATTGATTCTGCCTCCAGAATTTCTTTGAAATATTTTATTCTCTACTACTCCTGCTCTTGTTAAGGTCTCTATTTCTTCTTGCCAAGAGGTCTTTTTCACCTGAGTTTCCCCACATTGTTGCCAGAAGAATCAGCCATGTGAGATATTCTCAAAACCAGCCAACGGCTCCCCACTGCCTGCAGCATAAAGTCCAGATTTCTGGGTGTGCATTAAGCGCTGGCCTTCCCTGACTTTCCATCCTTGCCTTTCATTTTAACCCCCACCCTCACCAAATAAAATCACATCAGATTTCGCAGCCTTCCCTGATTCTGACAGTGGCCTCTACCATCCCATGCCGGGCCTGTCATCACACAGGGGCCTTCACTGGCATTTCATCCCCTACCTTCCCACCCATCATCTCCCATCTCCATCTTTGGAAGTCCTATTCACTGTCTGTGCTGAACCTGGTCCTTTAAGTCAGGAGGATCATTCCATGTGCCCTACACCAGGTGGCCCGTGAAACTGAGGAAAAAATGCAGGCCATAGATCCATGGGTCAACCTAGAAGCTTTGGATGTTCCCGAGCTGTTTGTAGGTGGGCTCCACTCTCACGTGGTCCAAGCTCTAGACTCAGGGATGCTGACTGCAATCTCTGGCCCCTGTTTCCCTGGCTGGTGATCTGCTTGTGCTTCTGCAGCACCTTCCTCCTGTGGCTTCTTTTGCCTCACAGCTTCCTAGACCCAACTTCTTCCCATGATCTCAAATACGAATCCTCTGCCCTGGCCTTGGCTCAGATGAGTCTGTCACGACCATTGGCATCTGTATAGGCCACTTGGCTCCTCTTCTTTGAAGCCTTCCCTGGTTTCTCTAGCATTGATTAATCTCCTCCGTACACATAAGCCTCTGCTTTGGCTCTTACCTTTTGTTGCTTTCTGAGACCCTCTGCCTCATCCATTGCACTCCAAGATCTTCCCGGGCAGGGTCTTTGCCTTTTAAAACCCTGACACTAAGCACCCATCAGTGTAGGAGCTCCACTGGTATTTGCACGGCATCCTAGAATCTCTGCTGCGACTCCAGCAGGTTCCTTGGAGTGGACAGACTCCCCCTAAAAAGCCCCAGCTGTATTTCACAAGCTTCTTTCGTCCCACCAAGAGACAGACACAGTGGGAGGCCGAGGTCCTGTGTTCCAGAGCCTGCTTCCACACAGCTATATTTAAACAAGCACATTCTCCAGAAAATAGAAAATATTCCTTATTAAAAGACCTTGCCTGGTACCCTTCTAGAACATTCATTCGGAATAAGAAAACATCCTTCCATTTAAACTTTTTCAAACCACTTTCATATATGTCAGATCCCAACCACCTTCAAAGGAGGTGGAGCAGATCATGTCTCATGTGAGAGCTGACATAACCAAAGTTCAGAGAGGTGTAGTGACTTCCCAAGGCCATACAGCTGTTCATGGCAGAGACAGAACTAGAGCCCTATCTGTCTTCCATGTCTCATCTGTTTGGGAATCCTTATTAATAATTGTTACTTAGGAATATTGCTTCCTCCCCTTTGGAGCTGACTTTCTCCAGATCCACACTGGGAGCCCTGGATTCTGACATGAGCCCTTCAGCTCCTTGACAGTCAGACATCTAGAGCCAAGTGCAGCCTTTGGAGAGGCCACAGCTCCCTTTCCCAGCTCCCTCCCCGTGAAAGAAGGTAGGCTGGGCTGTAAATGTTGTTTGGACCACTAAGTCCCTACTTGTTCTACTTCTGAGCATCTGGGAGGTATGTCAGCGTTTGCATCCACAAGCTCCAGAGAGTAGGGTTTGGGTCTCTCTGTGCCTAAATGACTCAGCCGTGTAAGTACTATCATCCTGGGTGGCGGAGGTGGGTGGGTGCAGGGAATGCAGCTGGATTACCAGGCACTACTGTTGGTGCTGGACTCAGCAGGACGCTGGAATCAGAACGCCTTCCCTCTAAGAAAGATGAAAGCATATCTCTGGTAGTGGTGAAGTCTGGCCCAGAAGTCCAGGTCCTTGGAAATGACTGGGGCCTGCCTTGCTTGAGTGTGGCCCTGGCATTTCCAGTTTGCAGTTCTGGGGCTCGGGCCCAGCTCCCCTACCTCCCCACTGTCTTTGGCACTTAGTGAGCACGATGGACTCCACCCGCTCCCTCCCCTACACACCCCCGTGGGCTCTGGACCTTCTTTCCAAGCCAAGGTTGGTGGCTGTCATTTTCAAACTCTTCTTCCGGCCTTTCTTCTTCCTTTCGAGTTCAGGCTCTGCCCTTCTTGGGTTTCCCTTCCTCCCTGTCTGTTGGCTTGTGCTGGAGGGAGCAGCTGAAAGCAAGGATGAAGGCTGGTTTTCCAGGCTGACCTTCCTGGGTGAAGATGAGGCCAGGATTCAAGTGCTTTGAATTGTGTGTGTGTGTGTGTGTGTGTGTGTGTGTGTGTGTGTGTGTGTGTGTATGTGTGTGAGAGAGAGAGAGAGTGTGTGTGTGTGTATGTGCGTGTTTATTCCACAAGGAACATCCCCTGAGCTGAACGGATAGCTCTCTGCAGAGAGGGTCATGGTCTCCTATGACTCCAACACCCACCCAGTATTCCAGGCACACACAGTAAGTATTCAACAACAATTGTTAAGGATTATGAAATACAGAATGATGGAAAGAGAACTGACCCGGGAAATTAAGACACTTGGGTTCTAACCCCAATTCCACTTGTAGCTTGTTTCACAAGTCCTTTAGCCTCCCCAGACATCCACTTTAAACAATTCCATCCTTACCTCCCATAGGACCAATTAGAGAATGGATTAGATATTTTCTTCTGAGGACCAGAGAGCAGAACGAGGTGGGTAGAAGTTACAAGTCTAAAGGAAAATTAAAAGATCTCAGGACTCCCATGCTCCTTGTGCAAAAAGAGGTTAAGCAGGCAGAACCCCCTTCCACGTAGCTGTTACTAGCATCTTGCATTAGCCAGATCCCCACACAAGGGTAAGGCCTCAGGCATCTACAAAGGACCACCCCCAGAGATCATTCATAAGTAAATTATTATTTTTTTTTGCTGGCCTCCCATAAATAAGGACATGCCAAATGTAACTTTAGGTCTACAATCTAAGTCTAGCTCCTAAAATGAAAGTCTGTTTCATTCCAGACTGATAATGTCAATTACAAGCATACATTCCCAGGTGCAGAAACAAGAGAGCAGTCATTCCTCCCCTACCCAGAGATGTCTGTATAATTGATTCTTCTTTCACTCATTTTTTCTCTGGAAACATTCCCCTTATCTTATGTAAAATGTAGATTTCCTGGGCATTAACAAAAGGCTCACAAGAATGTAACCATTCCCTTTACCACCAACCTGGCTCTCTTCCTGCATGCCTACCCCCTTGAAGGAAATGTATAAATACTAAACCTCCCGAAAACCTCTTCAGAAAAATAGCTCATGTTTTTCCCAGACACACGCCAAATCTGGCTTAGTAAACTTGATTGATTGAGACTTTTGCACAGTCACTCATTTCGATTATCACAAGGAAGCAGAATTCAGATCAAAATCAGGAAGACATTTGACACAGTTTGGATATTTGTCTCCACCCAAATCTCATGTTAAAATGTAATCACTACTGCTGGAGGTGGGGCCAGGTGGGGCGTGTTTGGCCCATGGGGACGAATCTCTGTGGCTTGGTGCTATCTTCACCAGAGTGAGTAAGCTCTTACTAGATCTGATTATTTAAAAGTGTGTGGCACCTCCCACCCCACTCACGTGTGCTCCTGCTTTCGCCATGTGACATGCCTGCTCCCCCTTTGCCTTCTGCCATGATTGTAAGCTTCCTGAGGCCTTAATAGAAGCTGAGCAGATGCCAGCACCATGCTTCTTGTACAGCCTGCAGTACTGTCAGTGAATTAAGTTTATTTTCTTTATAAATTCCCCAGTCTCAGGTATTTCTTTATAGCAATATAAGAACAGCCTAATACAACATTCCTACTAACCAAAGTCCATTCTACAGACTTCCTAATCAAGCAGAGAGCCTTCTGTTCTGAAAACTACTCCAACCAGACAGATTGATCATCTGACAAGTAGTCTTGCATGAGAGGGACTGCCTTCTAGACCATGAGGTAGGAGTCTACATTTTGGTGTACGTAGAGGGCTTTGGGGAGATCTGTGTGAGGCTGTAAGTATGCTGGCCTTTCTGTACATTTTCCAGAAGCCTGTTCAGGCCCAGGGACAGGAGATGGGTACTGAAATCTAGGGGAAAGCAAACTGACAACCTGGGCTCTGGCATCACAGAATGGCCTTGCCATCTCCAGCAGCACCTTGAGTCAAGAGCTTCTGTGTCTTCCCAGTGGGCAGACTCCAATGGGAATGACGTCTCACAGTGTGAGAGGCTCTGGCTGTGCCCAGTCCTCCAAAGGGAAGAGGATGATGGTCAGACTGGCCACTCACAAAGCTGCAAGTGCCTGGGCAGAGAGGACTGCTGCCTTCAACCATGAAATCTGACCCTGCAAAGTCTGTGTAAGTGGAGCCTCCTCTCTACCTCCCCTAGGAGATGAGCCAGTTCTGCCTACCTGGTGATTCTTAGCTATGGACTCTGGTCAAAGGAAACATTTCCTTCCACATCTTTCAAAGACCCATCAGCTCCAAGACTAAGAATCAGAGCCTCCACTTTCAGTCCCTGAGGGCTCTACCCTGGTTAACGACCACAGGGTCTTAGGCTCCCATGCAATAGAAATTAACATGAGGTCAAGCAAGTTTTCCAGACAAGACTTTATTAAAACCTATGGCCAGAGAGATTGGACATAAGGGAGACAGTGCAGGAGGAAGGGTTGTCCAGCTGGCTCCCCAAGGAGAGTGCATTACGGCGTCTTAAGGATGGTCACGTGCGTAATTCACGAGGTGGGTGAGCATCATTCCATGTGCCAGGTGGAGTGCAAGATGCACAGATGCAGTAAGGAATCATGCAACACATGCATCACATGATCAGAAAGTGGTGGATAAAAACCCCTTCCTGGGCAGAGATTTTAGAATTACAATGTGGCTAGGGATTAGAATCGGTCATTCTCCTGGCCTATGCACATGTGGGCAACTGAGTAAGATTTATGGTGGAATATTGCTTATCTTAGTTTCCTCAGACACTTTGCAAGCTCTGGTCAGCGGGTATAGTGCCGGTGGGGGTGGTGCAACAAGGCCTGGTGGTCAGCGGGCATGTGTGGAAAAATACTTTAGTCGGGGTTGGCCGAGTCCCGTCCCTACTCTGTCTCACCCTCGCTCGTCTTTTGGTGGGATTCTGCTGCATCTCACAAGAATATACTAAGTGTGCCTGGGGACTTTTGTGCAGCAGCTGCTGCTACCCCTGCATGGTCAATCCCCTGCTCTTCTCCCTGCTACCCACTCCCGTCAGTATCTGCTCTCCTGTCTCCATTCCTGGAAGTTCTTCTTCTGTAGCCTCAGGAAGATACAAGATTTTTGGTAGAGAAAAGGCCAGAGGAGATGAAGAGCAGACCAGACATCTCTTTTTTTGGTTGGTCCTGTGAACTCGTTTAGAGTCCAATTTGGAGGTGGGAGGTAGGGAGGGAGGGCAAGGGTTGAAGCTGAAGGAGGCTATTCAAGAAACTTTGAGCACAAGTATAGCTTCTTTGGGGCTCAAGAGAAGGTGAGTGACTCAGAGCAGACTCTCCCCTACCCCTCTACTTGGAAGCCACCTCCCCTCTTGTGCCCTGACAACTGGACCTGTGGGGAACATGAGACAAATGTTGATGTGCCCATGGTGGACACCAGCAAGGATGAGAGGGAGGGGCTAGGACAAGGAGGAAGAGCTGAGATGCTAGGCATCGTGATGAGTGCAACTGACAGACAGGACACATGGGAGGCATGTCCTTAGACACCCCTGGAAATGGCCGGGCACGGTGGCTCACACTTGTAACCCCAGCACTTCGGGAGGCTGAGGCAGGAGGATCACTTGAAGCCAGCAGTTCAAGAACAGCCTAGGCAACATAGTGAGACTGCATCCCTACCAAAGCAACATAAAAATTAGCCTGGGAGTGGTGGCAGGACACAATTGTAGTCTCAGCTACTCTGGAGGATGAGGTAGGAGGATGTCTTGAGGCCAGGAGTTCAAGACTGCATTGAGCTATGATTGCACCACTATACTCCAGCCTAGATAACAGAGCAAGATTCTAACTCTAAAAAAGAGAGAGAGAGAGAGAGAGACCCTGGAAACAGCTGGGGATGCAGTGAGAGCTGAAATCATAGTAATACATGGGTGGGAGCATTTAAGCCAGGAGATAATTGGGTTCCATCAGCAAATATTTATTCTGGGCTTGATATGTCAGATAAAAATTATTAAAACATTATCCTAGGCCTAGGATAATAAGACACACATAATAATAATAGCTAACATTCATTGTGCTGGGATAACTACGTATAGGGACTGTTCAGAGTGCTTCTACAGGCATGAAAACACTTAATTTTCAGACCAAATCTATTATTCCCATAGTATTTGTTAGGGTTCTCCAGAGAAACATAACCAATAGGATGTATATATATAGAAGAAGATATTTATTATAAGGAACTGGCTCACACAATTACAGAAGCTGGCAAGTCCCGAGATTTGCTGGGTGAGTCGACAAGCTGAGACCCAAGAGAGCTCATAGTTTAGTTCCAGTCCAAGTCCGAAGGCCTGAAAACCAGGAGAACAGGTGAAACAGTTCCAGTTTGGAGGCCAGCAGGCCTGAGACTCAGGAAGAGCCAACATTTCAGTTCAAGTCCAAAAGCAGGGAATAAAGCTAGTGTCCCAGTTCCAAGGTTGTTAGGCAGGAAGAATTCTTACTTGGGAGGTCACCCTTTTTGTTCTATTCAGGCCTTTGGCTGATTGAATGAGGCCCTCACACATTAGGGAGAGAAATCTGCTTTATTCAGTCTGCTGGCTTAAGTATTCATCTCATCCAGAAACATCCAGAATAATATTTGACCAACTATCTGGGCACTCCATGGATCAGCTAAGTTGAAACATTAAAATTAACCATCACAGGCCGGGTGCAGTGGCTCACACCTGTAATCCCAGCACTTTGGGAGGCTGAGATGGGTGGATATCTTGAGCTTAGGAGTTTGACCAGCCTGGGTAACATGGTGAAACTTTGTCTCTACCAAAAATACAAAAAATTAGCCAGGTGTGGTGGCACACACCTGTGGTCCTAGCTGTTTGGCGGGGCTGAGGTAAGAGGATTGCTTGAGCCGGGTGGTGGAGGTAGCAGTGAGCTGAGGTCAAGTCACTATACTCCAGCCTGGGTGACAGAGCAAGACCTTGCTTCAAAAATAAAATAAAATAACCATCACAAATTGGTTCTGGGGCAATTTCAGAGCCCAGGCAAAAAGAAGGGAGTGGTATCTTCTACCTTAGAGGTGGAGAGAGGTAAACCAGAGAACATCAAATAAAAACGTCATGCGGAAGGTGCCATTTGAGCAGAGCCTTGAAGAACAAGGAGCATTTTGACAGGTAGAGACAGGAGGAAAGGACAGGATAATTAGAGGGGACGGTGTGAACCAAGAAATCAAGGAAGGAAAGAATGCAGCAGGGGAATTCCTCAAGTGAGGCAAGTAGGGTGATGTGGGTAGTAGTGTCCTGGGCTGTGTCCTTGAGAAGTGGACTGTGATGGAGATGAATGTGCAGGGAGTCTGTTGAGTGCTCCCCGGGGTAACATCTGGGGAAGGGGAGCAAAGGAGAGGGGAAGAGAAGGGAAGGGGGCAGGATTGGGCAGGAGAAGTTGGGCTGCAACTGTTGATGCAGTCTCCACCAAGGCCTCAGCTGACCTCTGAGGAGCTTTGGAGTTGCAACTCCTCAGAGATTTCCTGAGTTAGGGCACAGGGCTCAAGAATTTACACTCCCACACTGATGTCACGGAATGCAGGCTGCTCTGGGAAAGGGTGTGATGTTGGACAAAGTGAATCCCTTCAGCTGAGACAATTCCCAAAGAGGGCTGACAGCTCAGGGTGGTCTGCTAACAGCACACCCAGCAACGGGGGAAATAACTGCTGCAGAGGGATCTAGGGGGCCCCTCCCTGCATCCACTGCAGGTGGATTAAAGGACGAGGGGTGCAGTGGATGTTCAAGAGCCAAACCTAGCATATCCCGGGATCCAGCACTGGAGATCCCTGTGAGCCAGTGCTGGGGACAGAGGGTTTCCTGCTGAGGGAGACAGGGAACCACTGACAACTGTTGAAAAAGGGAATGACAACTCAGGACTCTTCATGCTTTATGAAGATTAATCGGGAAGACTCATGTAATTCCTAGACATGGATGAGAAAGCCCACGGGAATGTGCAATAAGAACCACAAGGACAGAGACCTGGGCACGCATTGCAGAAACGGGTGGAGGAAGAGTGAGGGAAAGCGATGGAGAAGGAGCAGACAAGAAAAGGAAAGGAAAACTCTAGACTGAGGGTAAAGTCCACAATGCTGAAGAGTGGCCAAGCAGGATGGGCACTGAGGGGGATAGCGTGTAACAGGTCATCAGAAGGCTCTTGGCTGGGCGCAGTGGCTCACGCCTGTAATCCCAGCACTTTTGGAGGCTGAGGTGGGCAGATCACAAGGTCAGGATATTGAGACCATCCTGGTCAACATGGTGAAACCCCATCTCTACTAAAAATACAAAAAAAAAAAAATTAGCCGGACATGGTGGCATGCACCTGTAGTCCCAGCTACTCAGGAGGCTGAGGCAGGAGAATCGCTTGAACCTGGGAGGCGGAGCTTGCAGTGAGCTGAGATGGCGCTACTGCACTCCAGCCTGGCAACAGAGTGAGACTCTGTCTCAAAAAAAAAAAAAAAAAAAAAAAAAGGCTCTTGGTGACCTTGCAGGAACAATTTCAAGAGAGCAACAGGGCCAGATTCAGACAGCATTGGATCGAAATAACTAAAGCAGCCACTCCATTTACTCAACACCCACCATGTGCCACGCACTGTGTTGGGAGTTTTGTGTGTGGAATTTCATTAAATTTTCACAACTCTACAAAGAAAGTATGATTATTTTCATTTTATGGATGAATACACTGAGAGGCTCAGAGAGGTTAAGTCACTTGCCCAAGCTTACACAGCAAGTTACAGAAAGAGATTGGGACCCATTGAGAGGAAAGAAAGGGGAGGCAAAAAGTGCAGGTTACTCTGATAAGAGGCGTTTCAGGTAGAGAAGGAGAGTCACCAGGGAGGAATGCGCATTTGATGTAGCTGGTTTTTTTCTTTTATGTGGGAGAGACATAAACAAGTTTACAGGCTGAGGAGGAGGAACTTGTAGAAAGGAGGATGTTGAATAATTAGGAGAGGGGAGATAATTTATGGAGCAAAGATATGGCAGGGAGGGAAGGGATCAGGATGCAGGAAAAGGGATTTTCCTTAAACAGGAGACAGGAAGGCAAGGTCAGGAAGGACAGTGAGGCCCATCCAGTGGCCCTTATTCCTCCTGTGAAATCTAAGAGGAAGGTAGAGAGAGAAGGTCCCTCACAGCCCCCTCTGTGGGGCTTGAGAAGCAAGGAAGGCTTGAGGTGGCTGCTGGGAGCCTGGGAGTAATGCAGGGCAGATGAGCCCCTAAGTTGGGGCTTAACCCAGGAGGGTTCTTAGTTTCATCCAGGAAAGAATTCTAGGGTGAGCCAGTGGTGTTAGACAGCAACTTTGATTGAAGCAGCAGTGTGCAGCAGCAGGAGAGCAGGGCTACCCCTAGGCAGGGCAGTGCACCCAGAATGGCAGCTCAGAGGCAGTTCTGCAGTCATGTGTATACCCACTTTTAATAATATGCAAATTAAGGGGAAGATTATGCAGAAATTTCTAGAAAAAGAGTGGTAACTTATGGGTTGTCAGGTCATTACCATGGAAGGGCTGGTAACTTCCTGGTGTAGCCATGGCAATGGTAAACTGACATGGCATGCTGGTGGATGTGTCTTATGGAGAGGTGCTTTCGCCTCCTCCCTGTTTTAGCTAGTCCTCAACCTGGTCCAGTGTCTGAGCCGAGCCTCCAGAGTCAAGTCTTGCCTCCTACCTCAGGGAAACCTGGGGCCATAAAAATGTGCTAATACCACTGGGCCATGTTGTGAGCCTTGTCTGGGAATAGGGAGTGGGGACTTCTAGGGAAATTACCTGAGAATCATCAGGTGAGACTGATGAGTTTGGACATTCACTACCTCAGGAGGGCTGGTTTGAAAACCCAGGAGGCCCACCTCTGGTTCTGTTCCTGACCTTGCAATGATAGGATGTTAGGCAAACCTAAAAACTCTTGGGATTTCCACTATCTCACTGGTAGAGCCAGGGACTCATTAGCCTGGATTAGGAGTTGATGAAGTTGGAGAAAGTTGGCTAGAGACTCCCTGCTGCTCATGGAAAAAGCAGTGTATGTTACTAATGGCACCACCCACTGCCTGTAAGAGCAGATATTCATGGTAAAGCAAATTCCCTAAGGTCCATACAATTGTTTCCATGGGGTGCAGTGTCCAGTGGGAAATGATGAGGCTCTGTGTCCAGGATACCAGGAGCCCAGCCTGACGCTGCCTCTAAAAGCCTCTGTGGGGCTTTGGCTAGGTCATTGCATCTTCTGGCCTCAGTTTCCTCTTCTTGGTTTATGACAAAGCAGACACTTCTCAGGGGGTCGATTTCTGGCCATTTGGAATAGAGGGCAGCTTCACATTGTCTAGTGAGGGAGCTGCTCCTTTCCAAATAGGAAGGAGAAGAGAATCAAGAGTGAGTTTCTTGGCCAGGCACAGTGGCTCACGTCTGTAATCCCAGCACTTTGGGAGGCCAAGGCGGGTGAATCACTTGAGATCAGGAGTTCAAGACCAGCCTGGCCAACATGGTGAAATCCCATCTCTACCAAGAAATGCAAAAATTAGCCAGATGTGGTGTCCCGTGCCTATAGTCCCAGCTACTTAGGAAGCTGAGGCATGAGAATAGCTTGAACCAAGGAAGCAGAGGTTGCAGTGAGTCAAGATCGCACCAATGCACTCCAGCCTGGGTGACAGAGTGAGACCCTGTCTTAAAAAAAAAAGAGTTGAGTTTCTCATCTCTTCTCCCCAACCCAACAGTAAGCACAAATATCACAGATTTTCAGAGAGGGATCTGTGTGAACTCATCAGCCTAGTGACTAAGGCTTAGCATGGGTGCTGCAGCTGTGCATGGGCACCCATCATCAGACACAGCCTTCTGATCACTTGATATGGTTTGGCTGTGTCCCCACCCAAATCTCATCGTTAGCTCCCATAATTCCCACATTTTGTAGGAGGGACCCAGTGGGAGATAAATGAATCATGGGCATGGTTTCCCCCATACTGTTCTCTTGGTAGTGAATAAGTATCACGAGATCTGATGGTTTTATAAGGGGAAACCCCTTTCACTTGGTTCTCGTTCTCACTTTGCCTGCCACCATGTAAGACCTGCCTTTGTTCTTCCCTTGCCTTCCGCCATGATTGTGAGGCCTCCCCAGCCATGTGGAACTGTGAGTCCATTAAACCTCTTTTTCTTTATAAATTACCCAGTCTCGAGGACGTCTTATCAGCAGCATGAAAACGGACTAATACATCACCTCTCGTCACATGCTCCAGCCTCTGCACAAGGCTCTGTTGTTTCTGTTCTCAATCCCAGTCCCCAGTTAGTCCCGAAGCTGAGAGCTGGACACAGGCTGTTGCAGTGGCTGAACCTGAACAGAACCAGAGCTGCTGGCTCACTGGCTGCAGGCAGCTTGTTCTCTGCCCTCTACAAGGATCTGGGATTTATTTAGCCTGTTTCCCTGGCAGCGCTGGTTACAGTGGCAGCATCTGCTTCCCCAGGAGGCTGAGTGAGTCACAGCCACCTACGCTAACCCTTGGCACAGCACAACTCTGTTCTGCTGGGGACCACTGATAATAAGCCAGCAGGAAGATGCTGGAACACAGGCTCGATGCAGACAGTGCACTGGGCATGGGGTCCTGGGAAAGGCTTACCTACCTCCTCGTGCAAAAGAGGTTAAGGCTGGAGGCTGAGTTAACCCTGGCACGCTCTCCCTACAAGAGCTGTTAAGTCTGCTTAACAACTTAACAAAGTGGCTCACCTCAGCTGCTGCCAGCAGCTACAAGGTCTCATGGGAAAGGCCTGCAGGATTTTGGACTCCAAGTCCAGGCCCTCTTTTCACTATGCAAGGATAAGCCCTCAAATTTGTCTTTCCACGGCCACCTCTGCACCCATATTGGCCCCTGGTTCCTTCTGGCTCTCAACCCCAGGACCTTCTTTTAAGACATCGTCAGTCCCTCCTCTGGGCAGCAGTCCTCAAAACTGTATTCTTTCCCAGGCCCACCCCTTCCTGAAACTTTTATTTCCTCCATCTTGTCTCCCCTTATCATCTGGGTAATCTGAAAAAAATTAGTTGATCCCATGTTGTTAATGACTAATAACAGGTTATAGCGCTAGTCTCACAGGTGTTGCATTTACTCTTGACTTTGAAAGCCAGAGAGAACATCAGTCGTATGCAATGGTTTCTCCAAATATAGTCCCTGGATTTGTAGCATCAGCTTCATCAGAGAGTTTATTAGAAATGCACATTCCCAGTCCCCACTCCAAACAAATTACATCACAGATTCTGGGGTGGGCACTGACAATCTGTTTGAATCAGCCCTCCAGGGGACTCAGATGCACGCCACGGTCTGAGGACCCCTGGTCTAAGGAAAGAGATCTATAGCAGTGTATTCTCCACCCTGTGGGGAATGGAGAATTTTTGTCCGTACTTGTCTGGATTCACAGTACAGCTGCAAATATCTCTCTGTTTCATGCAAGCCACACTGAAGAGGCTTGAGTAGGCAAAGACCCCATTTGCTCCAACTCTGGGGGTTTTCCTATGTCCTTCCTCCAGATTGTTTGAGTCGCATGGAAAGAAACTGGTGTTTTTTTCATGTGTGGAAAAGGGCAGCATTGCCTCACCTGCCACAGAGAGGGCTTTAGGGATAAAAGGAAACCCACCCATTGGAAATGAACAATCTAGCCATCCTGTTTCCTAAGAGCTGAGGAATTCAAGCAGAGGGAAAAGAGACTGATAATATTTATTAATCAATGTGAATTACTCTTTCTTCTATCAATTCTTTTTGAACATTTACAGATTGCTCCTATGCTGAGCCCCACGGCCCCACCCTCAGATAGCTTACAGGAGAGTGAGACCATCAGTCAGAATGGGTTGGGCTATGCCATGGTAACAAACAACCCCACAGTCTTGGGGCCTTAACATAACAAAGGCTCATCTTGCAAATGCTTCATATCCAATGAGGGTCTGCTCTGCTCCACAAAATCACTCAGGGGCTCAGGGCAATGGAGAATCCACTATCTTGCAGCTGCCCTAGTCATTGCAGCAGGGGAAGAAACAGCTGGAGGTGGTCAGGTGCTCATCCAGAAGTAAATTCCAACACTTCTGCTTACATCTCACTGGGCAGAATCAGTCCCATGGCTTTACTAACTCCAAGGAGCCAGCAGGTGTATGCCAAAAGAGAGAAACATGGATATAGTTGGATATTAAAAGACTTTACCACACTAAGACCACTCATTTATTCATTCACTTATTCTTGAATAAATATTTACAGAATGCTTACCACATATCAAGCATTAGGCCAGACCCTGGGGATATAGCATCCCCAGAGCCGCTGCCTTTGCACATTAGAGACAGCCATTAATATTACATTGGTGCAAACAGTGCCCCCTGCAGGTGTGCAACACAGGAGCCCTGCTGTCTTTTATTTTTCCTGTTTATGTTATGTTTTATCATTACTATCTATCTTCCCCACCAGAAAGCAAAGTGAGAGAGCTGAGATTTTGTCTGAGTTGCTCGCTGCTATATTTCTGGAGTTTAACACAGTGCCTAGTGACCTCAATAAATATTTAAGTAAATGACTGAAAATGAAAAATTATTGACTATGTTCCCCATCAGTCCCTGCCTTCATGGAGCTTATAATCTGCTGAGTCAGGAGTTGTGTAAACAATTAGCTGAAGTATTGAGAAAAATCACGCACTAGACAGAGTGAAATACAGGTCAAGTAAAAACCTGGGCCACGTGCCTTGGGAGCGTGAAAAAGCCGGGGATCATTTTTGACCATGGGTAGGATCAGGGAGATTAACCTTGTTTTACAGGTGAAAAATGAAGATCCAGAGAGGCTTGCAGTGGGCCTGCCCATCAAGGGGTGAGCAGCAAGGCAGGCAGAAGAATCCTGCCCTACCTCTTGTTTTGGTATTTTTTCTTCTCCCTACACTAATAACTAACAAAGCTTTATATAGTCAGCCTTCCCTACCTGCTGGGTCCGCATCCATGGACTCAACCAATTGCAGATTGAAAACATTAAACAACAACAACAACAACAATAAAAATAATACAATTTAAAAAATCAATACAGTGTAATGACCATTTGTATAGCGCTTACATTTTATTAGGTTTTAAAAGTAACCTAGAGATGATTTAAAGTATATGGGAGGCTGTGTGTAGGTTATATGCAAATACTACACCATTTTATATTGTGGACTTAAGCATCCTTGGATTTTGGTGTCCTGGGGTGAGGGGGTCCTGGAATCAATCCCCCTCAGATATCGAATGATGACTGTATTTGTACAGCACTTTACCATTTTCCAACAGCTTTCATATACTACATATCTATAACTAGTCTTTAAGGATTAAAAGCCTTAAAAGTCTCTCTCTAGTCCCCACCCCACCATCCTATACCCAGCCTCAGAATTTGGTCCTCTTTTGATGTCTCTTTGCCTCTGGGAGGAGATGTGGGATGTGTTTCGTTGTGAGGATGGAACATCCAGTTCTCCCCGCCCTGCCCTACCTCCCAGCACTTGTCCCCACGCCTGCTCCCCAGCTGCCCAGAAGCACCGCATAGAAGAGGCAGCTTTTCCGAAGGGCATCTGCAGAGCACATGGGAGGGCTCTGTCCCAGCTGTGGTGGACAGAGAAAGGTGGAGGATGTCTCAACCAAAAACTTCTTCCCCTGCAGGCAAGAAAAGGGCTCATTATTTTCACTTGAGCTCGCAAGTAAAAACAATTACATAAGCTTCCCATCTGGCTTCCAAAGCACTTTTGAAACAATTCCATTGCAAGTCCTTTCATTTTATGGGGGCTCTAAAGACAGGGCACAGTTAGAGGTTATCACTGGGAATCTTTGTCCCAATGTGTGGCCTTTGTCCCCTCCTGCTGCCTCACTCCTCTCTCTCTGTCCTTTCCTCTCCCACATGTCTTCCTTCCCTTTCTGCAAATCTGTCCTCCATGAGGGCTCAGCCAAGGCTCTATTCAGTCTAACAAGCATTTCCTTAGAGCCCACTCTCCACCAGTCCCCTGGTTGGTGCTGGAGATTCCAGGATGGGCAGGACAAAGACAGAGGCTCACGGAGCTTAAAAGGGGTGAGGCCCATTCATGACACCCACTGGAGATGCCTGCTTTCATCCTATTCCACCTTCTATCCTCGCCCTTTCACAAAATATCTGTCTTCCTGAGATTCTATCATGAGTCAAGTAGTGAGCTAAGGGTTGACATGCATTCTTCTTTTTTTCATTTTTAGACAGTCTCACTCTGTCACCTAGGCTGGAGTGCAGTGGCACAATCTTGGCTCACTGCAACCACCGCCGCAATTCAAGAATTCAATTCAAGAATTCAAGCAATTCTCCTGCCTCAGCTTCCCGAGTAGCTGGGACTACAGGTACGTGCCACCACGCCTGGCTAATTTTTGTATTTTTAGTAGAGACAGGGTTTCACCATATTGGCCAGGCTGGCCTCGAACTCCTGGCCTCAGGTGATCCACCTGCCTCGGCCTCCCAAAGTGCTGGGATTACAGGCGTGAGCCACCATGCCCAGCCGACATGCATTCTTTCATTTCATTTTTTACAACAGTTATTCTCTTATTATGCCCATTTTTAGATAAAGAGACTATGGCTCAGGAGGTTATGTAAGTTGCCCAAGGTCACACAGCTAGGAAAGGGCCCAGCCAGCATCCCCGCTACACAGCCTGCCTTCCAGCCCCATCCTCCTCCTGGGCCACGCTGCCTCCACCAAAATGCTCAGAATAAAAAGAACAAAGAACAAAGAACAAAGAACTGGACAGAGCATTAGCACCATCTCTACCACTCCTCTCTTTTGAGAGTTGGCTTTTTCTTTTTTAAATTGGCAAGTAAAGATTGTATATATTTATGGTATAAAACATGATGTTTATATATATATACACACACACACACACATTGTAGAATGGCTAAATCAAGCTATTTAACGTATGCATTACCTCACACACTTATTTTTTGTAGTGAGAACACTTAAGATCTACTCTCTTAGCAATTTTCAAATATACAACATATTGTTATTAACTATGAGAGTTTGCTGTAAAAAAAAATCTAGTGATTCTTTCTAAAAACAAAGGACTTGTGTACCTTAGAGATCATTGTCTCCTCATGTCCCTGAAGTTTTAAAAACCAGATGTTTTGATCACTCCTTTTTTTTGTTTTTTTTTGTTTTGTTTTGTTTTTGTTCTTTGAGACAAGGTCTTGCTTTGTCACCCAGACTAGAGTGCAGTGGCTCAGTGGAGCAAACGCAGCTCACTGCAGCCTCCACCTCCCTGGCTCAAGTAATTCTCCCATCTCAGCCTCCAGAGTAGCTGGGACTACAGGTGTGTACCACCACGCCGGCCTAATTTTTGTATTTTTTGTAGAGATGGGTGTCCCACTATGTTGCCCAGGCTGATCTCAAACTCCTGGGCTCAGGGGATTTTGTATTTTTTGTAGAGATGGGGATCCCACTATGTTGCCCAGGCTGATCTCAAACTCCTGGGCTCAGGGGATTTTGTATTTTTTGTAGAGATGGGGATCCCACTATGTTGCCCAGGCTGGTCCCAAACTCCTGGGTTCAGGGGATCTGCCCGCCTCGGCCTCCCAATGTGTTGGGTTACAGGTGAGAGCCATTGCGCCCAGTCTTGATGACTTCTTTACTCCCTAGAGAGCAGAGAAACCTTTCCTGCCTAGCCTGTGGCCTCGGTCTTAGAAGTCATCTCTGGAGTCCAGCAAGCCTCACAGATGCTGGGCTAGCTTTTCACATCCTTTGAGGTGGTTTCAATGATCTAAGTAAGAAGAGGCACACACTGCCAGTTTACTGCCAAGCTTCACTCTTAGCCCTCCTTTACCCTACAGTGCTCTGGGGAGGGGAGGAGATGGCAAAGACCCTCCCCAGGGAGGTTTCTGAAAGGTCACATCCAGCACTGGAAAGCGCTGGAGGGTGATGTGTTGGTCTCAGTGTAACCTGCATTTGCATGTGGATTTCAAGCATCCTCCTAAACAAGCCAAATGTCCAGGAATGGATAGACTCCACAGTAAGATTTTGTGATTTTGGTGTCTAAAGCTGTCTTCATTTTTTTTTTTTTTATTCCACCTCGTCCACCCACTCCAGCCAGCTGAAATTCCCTGTGCCAAAAGTATGGAGAGAAGATGTCAGGAACGTGTGAGAACTCCCCCAGACGGTCTTTTGGAGTCACCCTGCCCTCCAGACAATTTTGGTGCCGGCTGCCTCCAGGAACCTGACTCTCTCAGTCTCTTACTGTTTCGCTCCGTGGGTCAAGTCTCTGCAAAGCCTTCACGCTGAGCCTTGCCTTGCAGGCAGCCTTTGTGAGGCAGTCATCATGGCTCAGCTAACTGCAGCAGGAAGAGGCAGACATGGAGCTAAAAGCACAGCAGCTGGGATTCCAGGAAAGCAGGAAGTTCTGCAGTTAGCATCAGGTTAGTCTACCAGCGAGAGTGGAGCTGGGTCATAGGCCCAGGTTGAGGGTAAGGACCCTGAGATGGTTTGGCTGTGTCCCCACCCGAATCTCCTTTTGAATTGTAGCTCTCATAAGTCCCACGTGTTGTGGGAGGGATCTGGTGGGAGACGATTGAATCGTGGGGGTGGTTTCCCCCATAGTGTTCTTATGGTGGTGAATAAGTCTCATGAGATCTGATGGTTTTATAAGGAGTTTCCCCTTTTGCTTGGCTCTCATTCTCTCTTGCCTGCTGCCATGTAAGATGTGCATTTTGCCTTTGATTGTGAGGTCTCCTCAGCCATGTGGAACTGTGAGTTCATTAAACCTATTTTTCTTTATAAATTACCCAGTCTCGGGTATGTCTTTATCAGCAGCATTAGAACAGACTCATACAAACCCCCGTCTCTGAGAAGTCCAGTCCTAGAAGGACCGAGTTACTGGGGCAAGACTCATATGGAGCAGGGTGAAGAACAATACCTTGCTGCAACAATCCAGATGGGCATTTTATTGTCTCATCCATGGCTTTTTTTTTTTTTTTTTTTTTTTTTTTAGAACTGGGACTTCATGTCAGAGTTGTAGAAGCAACAATAGTAACTCAATGCCAAATACTGGAAAATTAAAGCTGAGCTACAGAAATGTCTCCAGCTAAAGTCAGGCATACTGGACACCCTTTTTCTAGGACTAACTCCCCAGTTAGAACACACCCCTCACAGTTACTTTCCCCACATGTTCCCACCCCAGTAGCTCCCATGGCTACTACAGAATCATCAGCTATTTTGGGCCCAAGGTGATTGGCCCAAGGGTGACTTGTGACGAAAGATAGGCCAAATCAGGGCCCTTTCCAGAGATGTTTAGACTTGGGGCTCAAGTCTTTGAGACAGCTTCTCCCTGGTGACTATAGCAGACCCTGTCAATGTCCAACACCTGTCCCCTCATCATTGCTGACTCAATGTGACATCCATCTGTTCTGACGTCACATGATACATTCCCTTTACTGGATTCTCTGCACACTCTATGGACCAACACGTTCTTCAAATAGTTAATGTGCCATTAATAATCTGATATTCCTGCTTCCTTTCCACTTACATTTTGCTCTGTTAAATGCCAAAAGATCAAGAATAATTTAGTCATTTTTTTCCCACTGGGTTTCACATAGCTTCTTTCAGAGCAGTCAAAAAATTCTTACTTAATTTTGAAGCAAAAGAATCCCTGAAACTCTATAGCCCCTCCCCAGTATCTAGAACCTTTCCTGGGATTTGGAGCTTCTGAGTGGCCCTTTTTAATACCAGACACCTGAGCCAAACCTTAGTTAGTTTCAGTAAAAGCTCCTCAAGCTTGAAGTTAGGTGAACTTCCAATAAGCTGTCTTCCCAAAGAAACAGATTTAGCTATTTTTGTGCTACGCACTTGCTTCATCTAGTAGATTATAAACTTTTGGAGGAGAAGAAATGAGTGTTAGCTATCTTTGTATTCCTTGGCTCAGTACCTTACACTGAGTAAATATTTAATAAGTACAACTTTGCTACATAAATGAATCATTCAATCACATTCCCTGTGTTAAGTATAAAATTAACGATTTAAGCATCATGAATCAAATAGATAACCCCACTAGGATATATCTTAAGTTGTGCTGTTATAGACCTAATGGGTGGTTTTATAATGGACCCCCAATATTAATAAAATTCAGCAAAACTAATTGGCACTTTACTTTTGCATATAGCACACCCAACTGCTAAGAGCTAAATTTCCAAGTATGTATCCTACATAGGGAAAATCTTTTACCTTCCCCATCAAAGAGTGTTTAACTCATTGTTGGTGAATAGGGAAGTCTCTCCGGCTAAGCAGAAATGGAACCTGCCCAAGGGCATGGAGGAGACACTTTGAATGATCAGGGAGTATTTGGTCAGTCTGGCATAGGCCAATGTTCAATTAGAAACAAGAGAGAGCCCTTCCTACCGCCTCAATCCAGAAAGCAGGGGTCATGGCACCCCTGAAAGATGCTCTGGGGAGAACCCATAGGAAGTGGATACAGAGAGGTCCTGCTGTGTGGCAGATCCAACAGGACACGAGTAGAGACGGAATAACCCCACGAGTGACAGCTCTAGGGACAATGTGGCTTTCCAAAGGCTTGGGACCCAGGGTTACTCCAGCTTCCCACTTCCTGCTGCACACAGACCCCCACCCACAGCAGGCCAGGCCCCCCACGTGAAGTCTTCATACAGCCCTCAGATTTTTGTGAAGGGAGAGAAGACAGTCCACTCTCAGAGGAACACAGGGACAGGGCACAGAAATTCCCACCCCTTGTGGGCCAAGAGAGGAAATTAGAAGGCCCGAGGCAGAGAAACACTGTGCTATGCACCTCCACGTTGACTCTACTTCCAGGCAGGCAGCCTGGGTGAGAGGTACACACACACATAGATGAACGTGCAGGATGCTGGGGTGGCTCAGTGGAAGCACAGAGCTGGGGAGAAGCCTCTGCTCCCCATGGTCTCTCCGGGCTTCAAGCCTTCCCAGCTCTATCTGGTACTGGGACAGGTCCTGCTGCTGGAGGCCATCCGTGGTTCACCCAGTGTCCACTCCACCATCCAATGGTAATGGCACCCTGGTTTTCCTCTGGGGACCCAGCCTTTCCCCACACTCAGTCCTCGTGACCTCGTCTTCCTGCTCTAGAAATAGACACACATGCCCTGTGCTGGCCAAACAGTGGGTTCCATCTCCCTGGCCACTGCACTGATTTAAGGGGAGGACATGTGACCAAAGCTCAAATGGTCAGCCCAGCGTTCATGGCTGGAATGGAGGAAAGAGGCACCCTTTTTCCATGGGGTGAGGCCAGAGATTTGGGTTAGGGGTGGGGAAGTGAAGGGCATTGTGTGGGGAGTGGGTGCCTGAGAATGAAACCAAACAGGGAGGTCAAGGGAACAGCACAGCCTTGGCTCAATCCACTATGTCAGCCAAGAAACCTGCTGTGCTTAAACCGGATTAGGTTTTCAGTGCTTATAACTAAATGAGCTCTTCATTTGAATACAACTGCTGATGGTCCTCCCATTAGAAAAGAGAACAAAAGGGGCCGGGCGCGGTAGCTCCCACCTGTAATGCCAGCACTTTGGGAGGCCGAGGCAGGTGGATCATGAGGTCCGGAGATCGAGACTATCCTAACATGGTGAAACCCCGTCTCTAATAAAAATACAAAAAATTAGCCAGGCGTGGTGGCAGGCACCTGTAGTCCCAGCCACTCGGGAGGCTGAGGGAGGAGAATGGTGTGAACCCAGGAGGCAGAGCTTGCAGTGAGCTGAGATAGCGCCACTGCACTCCAGCCTGGGTGACAGAACGAGACTCCGAGATTCCGTCTCAAAAAAAAAAAAAGAAAAGAGAACAAAAGGGAGGAACAAGCCCTGTGCCACTGAGTGACATTACCATGGTGGCAACTTTGAAGGGTCCCCGTTTCATGCCTTTCTCTTTTCTCCTCCAAGAGCATTCGCCACCCAGGCAATACTCCTTTGAGAGGCAGCCTGTGAATCCCAACAACCAGGGAGCGCGCCACTTTCTTCCCCACCCGCCCCCTTGCGTCATGAAGTCCGATGGTGGAGCAGAGGGCTGTGAGTTTTAGACTTTTCATTCCATAGACCAGAAAATTGCTGAAATTAGTAGACATTTGAAGTGGCTCTTCCTCAAGCCCAGAAAAGATTTCTGCTGTTGCTATGTTTAAAAGCCCAGCAGCAAGTTGTTTTGGCTTGTGTCTTATTGTTATATAATAAACATGATAAGCTCTGTAAGCTCTGAACATTGGTTGCAAGGATGAAAATAGAGGCCTCACAATAATATGAGCCCTGGAGATGCTTTGTAGAGGGCGGGGGGAAGATAATAGTTTTCTGTGAGTGTTCAAATAGCAATGTGTGTAGTAGATTCTAAATTGCTATGTAAATTCCCAAAGGAAACAGTAGGGGAAAAAAGAAGAAGGTTATAGATTAAAAGGAACAGGTTATATATTAATGCGAGGGAAAAATGTAATCAACAACCACATGAGAGCTATTTTTAATAAGACGGGACCCAGGAGAGGTGGACTGATCTATTGTAGAAAGGAGATAAGCTTTCTACGCTATGTAACAAATTACTATAAACCTAGCGGCTTAATGAAACACAAATTTGTGATCACCTAGGAGCTCAGAGCAGTCCCCAGTAACAGCCAGCAAGAAAGTGAGGCAGAAGTGCAGGTGTGGTGTGGCTGCGTTCTCTGCGTAGGGTCTCATAAGATTGGCATCAAAAATTTAGTTGCTTGTGGTTGTAGGACTGAGTTGCCCACCTCCTGCTGGCTGTTACTGGGGACTGCTCTGAGCTCCTGGAGGCCTCTCCTATTTTCTCATCCTGTAGCCCTCTTATAATGTAGCTATTGGTTCCTTCAAGAAAAATCCCTCTCATGCTTCCAATCTCTCTGACTTCTTTGATCTCTAACCTCTACACCCTCTTTTAAAGAGTTCACTTGATTAGGCCAGGCCCACCCACTCAAGGGATGGGGATTACACAGGTTGTGCACACTGGGTGAGGGAATCTTGGGGGTCACTTTAGAATTCTATTACAGCGATCAAACTTTTGTGCCAAAGCAGGGACCCAAAATGTGTAATTTTAATGCACTACATTATGGACTGAATGTTTGTGCCTTGCCTCACCCCAATTCATTTGTTGAAGTCCTAACTCCCAATGTGATGGTATTTGGAGGTGGGCCCTTTGGGAAGTAATTCGGTTTAGATGAGGTCATGAGGATGGGCCCCCATGATGGGATTAGTGTCTTATAAGAAAAGGAACAGAGACCACATACTCTTTCTCTCTCTTTCTCTCTGCCATGTGAGGAACACAGTGAGAAGGCAATCATCTGTAAAGCAGGAAGAGAGCCTTCCCCAGGAGTTGAATCTGCCAGCATCTTGATCTTGGACTTCCCAGCCTCCAGAACCACCAGAGAGAAATGCCTGTTGTCTGAACCACCGTATGTTACCCTGTTACAGCAGCCTGAGCTAAGATGATACTGGAGGCCCAGTTAATCTACCTCAACATGACCCTTTTGTAACACAGGCTGGACAAAGGCTGTGAA
This sequence comes from Homo sapiens, assembly GCF_000001405.40. Taxonomy (NCBI): domain Eukaryota; kingdom Metazoa; phylum Chordata; class Mammalia; order Primates; family Hominidae; genus Homo; species Homo sapiens. Next base: position 71,218,045 of record NC_000014.9, read on the forward strand.
AACACTCAGTATCTAGAGTTTTCCAATGTGTGTGTCCTTCCCTATACACTTCATTTGCTTATCCCCTTATTCATTCAACAAAGGAGTTCCTTTTCTTTTCTTTTCTTTCCTTCCTTCCTTCCTTTCTTTCTTTTGACAGGGTTTCACCATGTTGGCCAGGCTGAGCTTAACTCCTGACCCCAAGTGATCCACCTGCCAAGGCCTCCCAAAGTGCTGGGATTACAGGCGTGAGCCACTGTGCCTGGCCAAGGAGCTCTTATTGTCATCTCTGCACTGTGCTTGACCCCAGAGCCAGGACTAGGCTGGGGCCAATGAGGCATTGAGCAGACAAAGTTTAAGGAGAAACTCACTTGCACAACCCTGAGAGTGAGTGCCACCTGGCATTGTCTGCCCTCCACCCCCTCCTGGCCCTTCCAGGCACAGAGGAAACAAAGATTTTTTTTTAAGCCACTTTCTTCCTCAAGACACCCACAGGTTAAGAGGTCAGAAACAGGGCATACCACACTGGCCTTTGGCACCTCAATTGCTCACTTCACAAGAGCACAAAATGTCCCCTAAGAAGAGCAGCTGAGTATAATGGAAAAAGTTAAGTGTCCTCTTCTGACCTTTGATGATTCAAAAGTTTAGAGTCATTTTTAACACTATTCAAAGGAAATGTGACACTCATATAAACTTGATGCTACATGTCATTGAATCACAGCTCTAAAGAAACCTACAGGCCGGGTGCGGTGGCTCACACCTGTAATCCCCGCACTTTGGGAGGCCGAGGCAGGTGGATCACGAGGTCAAGAGATCGACATGGTGAAACCCCCTCTCTACTAAAAATACAAAAAATTAGCCGGGCATGGTGGTGGGCACCTGTAGTCCCAGCTACTTGGGAGGCTGAGGCAGGAGAATCATTTGAACCCGAGAGGTGGAGGTTGCAGTGAGCCAAGACTGTGCCACTGTACTCCAGCCTGTGTGACAGAGCGAGACTCTGTCTCAAAAAAAAAAAAAAAAGAAAAAAAAAAGAAACCTTCACCACCTGTTGCTCTATTGAAATGTTTGTACAGTTTTCTCACATTCCATGAAACATTCCATGTTTCCCAGGCACAAGGTAACTGCCTCTTTCACCCATTTTTTTCCCTCTCTTTCTGTTTTTGGTTTGTTTTTTGTTGTTGTTGTTGTTTGGTTTTTTTTGAGACAAGATCTCACTCTGTCACCCAGGCTGGAGTGCAATAGTGCAATCTCAGCTCACTGCAGCCTCAGCCTCCGGGGGTCAATCGATTCTCCCACCTCAGCCTCCCAAGTAGCCGGGACAACAGGCATGCACAACCATGCCCAGCTAATTTTGTTATCGGAAAGGGGTCCCAATCCAGACCCCAAGAGAGGGTTCCTGGATCTCATACAAGAAAGAATTCAAGGCAAATCCATAGAGGAAAGTGAAAGCCAGTTTACTAAGGGAGTAAAAGAATGGCTACTCCATAGGCAGAAAAGCCCCAAGAGCTGCTGGCTGCCCATTTTTATGGTTATTTCTTGATGATATGCTAAACAAGGGGTGGATTATTCATGCCTCCCCTTTTTAGGCCATATAGGGTAACTTCCTGATGTTGCCATGGCATTTGTAAACTGTCATGGTGCTGGTGGGAGTGTAGCAGTGAGGACGACCAGAGGTCACTCTCATCACCATCTTGGTTTTGGTGGGTTTTAGCTGGCTTCTTTACTGCAAACTGTTTTATCAGCAAGGTCTTTGTGACCTGTATCTTGTTCTGACCTCTATCTCATCCTGTGATTTAGAAGGTCTAACTGTCTGGGAATGCAGCCCAGTAGGTCTCAGCCTTATTTTACACAGCCCCTATTCAAGATGGAGTTGCTCTAGTTCAACTGCCTCTGACAATTTTATTTTTTGTAGATACAAGGTCTCACTATGTTGCCCAGGCTGGTCTCGAACTCCTAGACTCAAGTGATTCTCCTGCCTTGGCCTCCCAAAGTGCTGGGATTACAGGCATGAGTCACCGCACTCAGCCTCTCTCTGTCTTTATTTACCATTTTAGTCAGCTGGAGCACTTGTTAAAAGACTCTTATAAATCTCTTTTTCCTCTGACTTCCATTCATAATACAGAGCTGAGCCGCTCACCATCCCATAGGTTGTCCAGAATGTCTCTTCCCTGGCTTCCACTGCCTCTGTTGAGTGTCCATGGGGTCCTGTGGATCCTGTGGTGCAAAGGCTGAGACCTCAGCCCTAAAGCAGAGCCCAGAACAGGAGACCACCACCAAGGCCTCTTGCTTGGATTTTTGGTTTCTTTTGGTGAAAACTTCACTCACTGTTCTCACTCACCCTGCCAGTGGGAAAATAAACCCATACGAAAATGGTCTTGGGACTGGGAGCCCTGCTAAACCCTTGTTCAGGTTAAACTCCCTTAAGTAACAGAGAACAGACCTGACTGAGCTTGATCTCCTAGGATATTTCTCTGTGCTGAGAGCCTAACCAGGAAAAACGTTAAACAGATCACTTAGCTGATGGCAAATATATGTGACCAATTCTCAGCCTCAGCCACAGAAGGGACTTGATGGGTGGGACCTTGGCACCACCCCTTCCCCCACTGCCCCCACTGCCTTGGTCTAAATCTGCATCTCGTAGAATTCTTTGCACAACAGCAGACCTATTGTGAGGACTTTCCTTCTCCCTAACCCCATCCCCCTATCAAGTAAGATGTTTACTTCCAGTACTAGAAGGGGGCGGGCATGCAGGCAGAAATAGAAGGAATTCTAACCATAGCTAACCAAAGTCAGATTTCCAGGCCACTCCACTCACCGGGGTCTGCTTTAACCTCTGGGAACAAAGTAAACAAAAAGCTGGATTGTTGCATCCTGCTCTGAAGGTTAAAGTTTTGATTCAAGGTTAAAGTTTTGATATCTTCTGTGCCTCACAGCCTTTTGTTTCACTCTGATGCTATTATTTACTCATCCTTTTGCACAGGAGGTCACTTTGCATAGACGAGAAGAACTTGAGGCTGAGCCTCTACCTATGGTCTGTTGGAACCTAAGGAAGCCAGTTCATTTCTCCCAATCTCAATGCCCTCATCTGTAAAAGTAGGGAAATTATACTGGGCTTGCTGGGTTGGTTTGTGTGTGTATGTGTGAACTATAAATACTTGAAAACGACTACCCCTTTCAGAAAGGGTTACTATTGCTATTACTGTTATCTGTGCCTTTATGTATGTATAACTGATCTGTCTCCTCTACTAGGCTATGCATTTGAGAGCAAGAATTGTGTCTGTATTGCTAACAGCAATTCCAGCGCCTAACAAAGAGGAGGTGCTGTGGAGGCCAAAGCAACTCCAACTTGGATGCTAATCCATCACTTTAACTTCTGATTAACCCTTGTTCTAGGAAGTCCTCTAAGATTTCCAGTTTATTTGATGTTTCTTGTGTGAGAGTAGGTACCTACTGTAAATCCTGCCCTGAGGTCAAAACAACCTTGATGTTATAGGACTTCAATTGTTCTACACAAACATTCTGAATCACATATACCCTTTCCCAGTATTATATAAGCCCTGGTCATGAGAATAAATGGTGCAGGATCCACCATCTTGCCTCACTGCTGCCTGAGACACAGACATGGCTTCTGTTTGTAAGTCCCTATTAAGTGTATATTTCTGAGGAACTGGATATGTCAGCCTTTTTCTTCAGCCTCTCAGCTTCCTTGGATTTTTGGGGGTAGGTTTGCTGAGGCCTGGCCCCCATGGAACAGGTGCTCCATCAAGGAGTAAGTGCTGAGCATTTAGATTCAGGTGAGGGGCAGCAGCCACCAGGAAAGAAGAGTCTATGCATAATTACCTGCCCTACTTCCTGAGTCAGGGGTTCTCAAATTCTTTGTGTTCAGGACACATTTGAAGAGCCGGCACATTCAGACAACAGTGACTCAGCAATCATTGCAACTTAATCCCTACTACTGAAGAACAACATCTCATAATGTCTACAAAAGCAACCACTATGACCCCACCATTTACTGGGATGCGCTTCAGCACTACAGTTAGAAGGTGGAACGCTGACTGCCCGAATGTCCTTCCTCTAATATACACAAGAAGATTTCTCACCTGTCTAGTTAACCACTATATTTCTTGGTCCCTGGCTTGACAACATACCTCTTACCTCCTCACAGCACTACATAGTGTGTTGGCATGCAGTCATGTTTCAGGCAGGCACTTCAAATTTGCCCTTGGAATTCCAGGATTTTGCTTTTGCAGTTTCTAATTGTCAACAATCCTGAAGGCCCTTGACATGTGGTCATTTGTAATTTTGCTGAGATGTAATTTTTTTTTTTTTTTTGAGACAGAGTCTCGCTCTGTCGTCCAGGCTGGAGTGCAGTGGCATGATCTCAGCTCACTGCAATCTCCGCCTCCCGGGTTCAAGCAATTCTCCTGCCTCAGCCTCCTGAGTAGCTGAGATTACAGGCACATGCCACCACGCCCAGCTAATTTTTGTATTTTTAGTACAGATGAGGTTTCACCATGTTGGTAAGGCTGGTCTCGAACTCCTAACATCATGATCCACCCACCTTGGCCTCCCAAAGTGCTGGGATTACAAGCATGAGCCACTGTACCCGGCCTGAGATGTCAATTTTTAAAAATTAGTTTATAAGTAATACATAAGTATATGTATATTCCAAAATGTCTATACAATAAAAAAATATGGAAGAAAACCTGTGGAAGTTTTCCTTATTGGTACCAGTCACAGTAGGCCATGTTATACTACAGTAATAAATGTCTCCAAACCTCAGTAACTTTATTCATTTATTTATTTATTTGTCCTGTATTGCGCAGGCTGGTCTTAAACTTCTGGCCTTAATCAATCCTCCTACCTCAGCCTCCCAAAGTGCTGCGATTACAGGTGTGAGATTTTTTTCTTGTTCGCACTACATGTTTTTCTATTTTTATTTTTCTTTTTAAAAATTATTTATTTATTTATTTTGAGACAGCGTCTGGCTCTTTCGCCTAAGCTGGAGTGCAGTGGAGCGATCTTGGCTCACTGCAAACTCTGCCTCTTGGGTTCAAGCAATTCTCCTACCTCAGCATCCCGAGTAGCTGGGATTACAGGTGCACACCACCACGCCCAGCAAATTTTTGTATTTTAGTAGAGACAGGGTTTCACCATGTTGGCAGGGCTGATCTCAAACTCCTGACCTCAGGTGACCTGCCTACCTCTGCCTCCCAAAGTGCTGGGATTACAGGCATTAGCCACTGCACCCAGCCTTTATTAATTTTTTATTTTTTATTTGAGATGGAGTCTTGTTCTATTGCTCAGGCTGGAGTGCAGTGGCACAATCTCAGCTCACTGCAACCTCCGCCTCCCAGGTTCAAGCGATCCTCCCACCTCAGCCTCACAAGTAGCTGGGGTTACAGGCACGTGCCACCATACCTAGCTAATTTTTGTACTTTTAGTAGATACAGGGTTTCACCATGTTGGCCAGGCTGGTCTCAAACTCCTGACCTCAAGTGATCTGCCCACCTTGGCCTCCTACAGTGCTGGGATTACAGGCCTGAGCCACGGCGCCTGGCCATGCATGTTTTTCATGAGTCCACCACAGCTCTGCTTTTTACCATCTTGACTCCAGAACCAAAACTGATGGAAGAACCTAACCTCTATCTGAAATATCACCAATCTCGTGGCAGAAGGAAAAAGACAAGGCAAAGGGTGCCTTAACTTCTAAAACTTTGCACAAAAATGACCAACATCAGTTATTGGCCAAAGCAAGTAATATGGTCATTCCTGAGGTCAACAGTGTGGGAAAATAGACTCCTGCAGAGAGGGGCACTGCAGGGCAAGAAACTGGAATATTTGGTAACGGAGAATACCATCGTCCAGCACCTCCTCCAACAACTACTTCTCTCCCAGAAGCAACTGTTCTAGACAGTTCAGTGTGCATCCTTTCAGTCTCCTTTCCTATATATTTGCTGACATATCTCTACAGGCGTACACATAAATGTCGAATTTTGCACGTATTTTTCTGCAACTTGCTCTGTTCACTTAATATGCTTTGGAGACCTTTCATCTCAGTATGCATAAGTCTACCTGACTCTCTCTAACAATAGCATGGTGTTTCATACCATAATATATTTAAATTCTTGGTATACATTTTGGATCTTTTCAATATGTTTTGATATTACAAATAATGCTGCAATATGTATTCATAAAGATGCACATATCTTTGTGAATATATGTATTTTGGAATGATAGGTTTCTAGAAATAAGTTGTTAAAGTATGTATGCATTGCAGTTTTTAATAGATACTAGCAATTTGCCTTGAAAAATGCCTTCATCAATGTTCACAGCCACTAGAAAAATAAAAGTGCCTGATTTCCCAAATCTTCAACAACTCAATATTATCAATTTTTTTCTCTTCTGTAAATCTGATGGATTTTAAGAGGGTAATTCATTGTTTGAATATACTTAATATGTCACTTCTCGGCCTTTTGGCTAAGATCAAGTGAATATACTTAATGTATTTTTTTGCTTACAGTGAGGTTGAGTACTGTTCATATTTATTGGTTAATTTCACAATTTCACAATTTTTTTTCTCTTGTGAATTGTCTGTTTCCATTCTTTACCCATTTCCTAGTGATTTTAAATCTTTTTGTTTCATCTTTTTCTTTTAGATTTGAACAAATCACTTTATGTATTTTCTCAATATTAACCTGTCTATATTACCATTTGTGAATACAAACATGTCTCCATTACATCAGAAATCCATCTCTAAACACCAGAAACTGAATGAAAATACTAATGAGGATTCCATTTCCTATCAATATAACACTGCCAGTCAATTTCCTAAAACACCGGAATATGTCAATGTATTTAACAAATTATTTAGTACATAAGATGCATACAACATTGCTTCCTTTAAATCTTTTTAGAGAAAGGATCTTACTCTGATGCCCGGGCTGGAGTACAGTGGCATGATCATAATTCACTGCAGCCTGTAAATCCTGAGCTCAAGCAATCCTCCCACCTCAGCCTCCTGAGTAGCTGGGACTACAGGTGAGTGCCACCGCACCCAGCTAAGTTTCTAATTTTTGGTAGAAAGAGAGTCTTGCTATATTGACCAGGCTGGTCTCAAACTTCTGGCCTCAAGCAATCCTCCTGCCTTGACCTTCCTAAGTGCTGGGATTAGGCGTGAGCCACCCCACCTCACAAAACATTGTTTCCTGATCACCAAACAGTTCACGTGACTTTTAACAGACATTTGCTTGTGTGTAGCCATCAACATCCTACTCACATCCCTTTGTTAACACTTGGCACTTTTCAAAACATCTGCATGTGATTCTGACATCCTTCCAATTATAATTGGAAAGTAACTGGAAAATTCTTCCCCTTTCCCTCCCACACAACCTACTTTGTTTAAAAATATTATCTTGAGTTTGGGGAATGTACAAATAAAATGTTCTATATAAACATTGGTTCAAAAAATACTGTATTGGAGAGATATGTACATTTTATGAGGTCTGAGTGTTGAAGATAAGAGGAGTTCTACTGAGAAAAGAATACCTGGGGAGGCTGCTTGTCAGGTATACTCAAAAAGGTTTACTTTCAGCCTAGCCATTTTGGATTTTTGTTTGTTTGTTTGTTTTTTGAGACAGTCTCACTCTGTTGCCCAGGGTGTAGGGCAGTGGCACAAATTCAGCTCACTGCAACCTCCGCCTCCCAGGTTCAAATGATTCTCCTGCCTCACCCTCCCGAGTAGCTGGGATTACAGGTGCCTGCCACCATGCCCAGCTAATCTTTGTATTTTTAGTAGAGATGGGGTTTCTTCATGTTTGTCAGGCTGGTCTTGAAGTCCTGACCTCAGGTGATCCGTCCACCGCAGCCTCCGAAAGTGCTGGGATTATAAGCATGAGCCACTGCACCACACCCATTTTGTTTTCAATTTTGTTCATGGTATCTTTTTAGATGCAAAATTTGCCACTTTATGTAAACAAACTGTCAGTTATTTTGTTTAAGGTTTCTGGATTTAAATCTCGTTTTAGGAGATTTTCCCCATCTCAGGATGTTTTTTTCAAATTCTGTTAAATATATTTTAAAGTTGTTAGTTTTGCTTTATGCTCAGCTCTTTGGTCATAAGGAATTAATTGTTAAGTAAGGTATGAGGTGGAGTGGGGCAATCTAACTTTTCTCTGTCCCCAAACAAGTAGCATATCAATCCAATGCTATCTATTGAATATTTTATTCTGTCTCCAGTTGGTTTGAAATGCCAATATCTTAGCCCATTTTGTGCTGCTATTGCAGAATTCCTGAGATTGGGTGATTTATAATAAACAGAAATTCATTGGCTCACAGTTCTGGAGGCTGTGAAGTCCAGGATCAAGGCACTGGCAGCTGGTGAGGGCCTTCTTGCTTGTCATTGTATGGCGGAAGTGGAAGGTCAAGAGCGCAAGAGAGCGAACCCACTCCCACCAGCCCTTTCTTAAGGGCATGAATCTGTTCATGAGGATGGATTCCTCATGACCTAAACACTTCCCATTAGCCCCTACCTCCCAATACTATCACATTGGGAATTAAGTTTCCAAAATATGAATTCTGGGAGACACATTCAAACTGTAGCATTGTGTAACTTACATTCTTGAGGTTTAAAAAAATGTATTCAGTATAATAAAGCATCAAATTTTATAGTGAAGCTAGGATACAAAAATGGAGTCTTAGGGAGAATGAGATTAATTATCAGCATTCATGTATCAACACCAACATTCTCTGCTCGTTGTGGTTGTCACAAAGGTAAAACTTCTTGTATGTGACAAACTAATCTGATAGGAAGACAACCGCTAATGATGCATGTCAAGGGATCTAAGAAAGTGAGATGCTATTACAAATAACTGGAGTCCTGTAGGAATAGAATTATTATTATTATTATTATTAATTATTATTTTGAGAAAGAGTCTTGCTCTGTCGCCCAGGCTGGGAGTGCAGTGGTGTGATCTCAGCTCACTGCAACCTCCACCTCCTCAGTTAAAGCGATTGTCATGTCTCAGCCTCTGGAGTAGCTGGGATTACAAGCATAGTACAACACGCCTGGCTAATTTTTGTCATTTTTTTTAGAGACGGTGTTTCACCATGTTGGCCAGGCTGGTCTCAAACTCCTAGCCTCAAGTGGTGTGTCCACCTTGGCCTCCCAAAGTGCTGGGATTACAGGTGTGAGCCACTGCGCCCAGCCAGAATAGAATTATTAAAGATTCAAAGAGATCATTTTATTTTTCAGTTATTCTTTACTATGTTTTACTTTGGGCCTTTGTAGGTTTGATGATGTTCAAGAATTCTATGATTCAAGGCCAGGCATGGTGGCTCATGCCAGCACTTTGGGAGGCCAAGGTAGGAGGACTGCTTGAGGATAAAAGTTCAAGACCAGCCTGGGCAACATAGCAAGACCCCGTCTCTACAAAAAATTTTTAAAATTTTAAAAATAAGAAATAAAAAAATTCTAGGATTTAGTAGTTCTGGGTAAGTCCCCCAAAACATTCAGGTTCTGTTGTTTTGTGAGCTTTCCTGGTCCCAGAAATTCACCTGCAACTGATACCACCTTGGCCCACACACTTTGTGAAAGGGAAGACTGCCCTCTCTACTTCCATTTTCTTCTCTTCCCCTCAGTCATTCCTCATCCCACAGCGGTGACTGCTAGGGACTGCTTCCATCTGACTGCTTCTTCCCCACGCCTCAGAAATGCCTCATCCAGGAAAGTCTAGTAAGAGAAGTTTGAAGATGCTGGACTGGAGCTAGAGGGTTGGGGAAGGGGTCAAATGATGGCTGACATTATTTGGTGATGTCTTGAGCCCACTGTGTCCCAAGGAGATGGACTGAAAATCAGGTAAATTAGCAGATGAATTGGCAATTACCCCCAAAAGAGAGATAAACAGAGTTGAACAGAGTGCAGCAGGAAAGGATAGTGGCTCAGATGTCTCTCTCCTCTCATCTTCTCTCTTTCTCTGTGTGTGCGCACACACACATGCACAGGCTCCTTTGTGTCTCAAGACAAACAGCTTCATCCGCACCCTGAGGGAAGACTGGATGGCAGCATAAAACGAGAGGGGCAGCCGGGGCTGAGGAGGCAACAGTGCCAGCTGTGTGAGCAATTTGGAGAATGGCGTGGCCAGGAAAGGGTATTGATGACTGCCAATCTGGGCTGTGGACCTCCTGGAAATGGGCTGCCCTCCAGCCATCCAGCAGGTTCCTTCTCATTGTTTTAGGGGACTTTTACATCTGGAGGGCTCCACCTCTGGAGCCCAAACCCTCTGTGTCCCTGCCAGAGCTTCTCAAACTCTTCCTACTGAGCCACTCCCAGCAACCAGAAGCCTCAACTCCTAACTTTGGAGAGGACAAGGCCCTGTCAGTCCCACCCTAGGCAAATGTGATGTTTCTCTGCTGTCTTCAGCTTTATCTTTAAAACTGAAGCACAGTTGGTGTTCTACGTCATGTTTCTGTGTTTGTTTTGATATTTTTCAAAATGTGTTTTCAATGTCATGCCTAGCTCTTCCTCTCCCTCCCCATTAGATCCCATTATAAAACCCAGCACTGCTCTGTGCTTCATGGTGCTCATTTCAACTGTAATTAATTCCTGTTTGCCAGTTGTTTACATGCTGTCTTTCCCACTAGAGTGTAAGCTTCAGGAAGCCAGTGGCCATGCCTGTCTGGGTCGTCACCTCTGCATTCCCAGTGCCTTGCCAGAGCCTGGCCCCAGCTGTAGCTTTTGACTTTTGTGGTTACAGCCCTCTTATAAGAAGGCTGATGTGAGAATTTCAGGCCTCATGAAGGTCATGTGACTGTGCCTCCTTTCATAAGCAGAAAGGCCTGGGTCCACAGCCTGACAAATGGGCTATTGTTCATGAAGAGTTCAGGTGAGAGGTGAAATCCATCACTGCTCCAGGCCAGCCCTATCGCAACTCCTTGCACCCTCCCAGTGACCCGGTGACTGGGGAGACAATGACATCACCTCAGAATACATAAACAAAAGACACCCTGTTCTTCAAAGCTCTCCAAGGAGAATTACATTTTTTAGCCCATTCTTGCTGTAATATATGCATAAATATCATCTCTCAGAGTTTCCTAGATTCAGTTCAAGGACATAGATGATTTGGTAGGTATTTGACTTATAGAAGTTTTCTGAAGTCAGAGAATAAATTGAAACATGTTTTGCTGAGAGTAGGAAAACAACTCAATTTGGAAGAAGAGCTGATTTCTCAGGTAAGTAATTGTAAGTTATATCAACCCCTCTCACCTTTGGGTCTAGTTTTCTCATCTCCTACACAAACCTTTGGTGACAACTTTCATCCTTATCATTCTTTTTTTTTTTTTTTTTTTTTTTTTTTGAGACAGGGTCTTGCTGTGTTGCCCAGGCTGGTCTTGAACTCCTGGGCTCAAACCATCCTCCTGCCTCAGCCTCCCAAAGTGCTGGGATTACAAGTGTAAGCCAACACGTCTGGCTTCATCCTATAATTCTTAATATCCACAGAACACTATTCAGAAAATTCATTGGTTAAAAAAATGTCAATTCCTCAAAACAGCAAAGTACTATCTCCAAGTTCCATGTAAAGTGTGTGATTAAACACTTTAGTCAGAGCATTTAAAGAAAGTGCTAAAGAAAGGTAGTAAGAAACCTGAATTGTGGAATAGTTATTATCGTAACTGCTTGCATTTATTGAGTGTTTATTATGTGCAAGATATTAGGCTGAGTTATTTGCATGGTTTAGCTCATTAAATCCTCATAGCACACATGTGAGGTGTTGTATTAGTCTGTTCTCATGCTGCTAAGAAAGCCATATTACTGGGTAATTTATAAAGGAGAGAGGTTTAACTAGCTCACAGTTCCACATGGCTGGGGAGGCCTCAAAATCATGGCGGAAGACAAAGGAAGAGCACGGCGGCAGGCAAAAGAGCTTGCGTAGGGGAACTCCTCTTTATAAAACCATCAGATCCCATGAGACTTATTCACTGTCACAAGAACAGCACAGGAAAGACCCGAACCCATGATTCCATCATCTCCCACCGGGTCCCTCCCACGATGTGGGAATTGTGGGAGCTACAACTCAAGATGAGATTTGGGTGGGGCCAAATCTCATATTAGGGAGAATTATTATTCCCATTTCACAGATGAAGAAATGGATACTTGGAGAGCCCATGTAACTTACTCTAGATCCTGTGCCTTATGGGGCACAGAGCCAGAGCTCTGATGCTGATTTACATTATTCTGTGGTCCAGGCTGTTAACCACTGGCCATGAAAAAGCAGCAAATGAATATTTGTATTTGAGAAAGAAAGAAACTTCTGTCACTCCAAGTACAAGTGCTGGTTAGCTTGTGTTGCCCAATTCAGGGCCTAACAGACTTCTTTCAACTAACAAATTTATAAAATCCTTTGTAAATGGCCTATTTATTTATTTATTTTGAGACAGGGTCTCACTCTGTCACCCAGGCTGGAGGGCAGTGGTTCGATGATGGCTCACTGCAGTTTCGACCTCCTGGGCTCAAACCATTCTCCTGCCTCAGTCTCCCGAGTAACTGGGACTACAGGTGCACCACTACATCTACCTAATTTTTTGATTTTTTTGTAAAGACAGGATATCACTATGTTGCCCAGGCTGGTCTCAAACTTCTGAGCTCAAGGATCCTCCCACCTTGGCCTCCTAAAGTGCTAGGATTACAGGCATTACCCACCATGCCCAGACTATTGACTCATTTTTTTTAGGTGAGTGAAAATATGTTGTTCTCTTAAAAATGTTAACCTGATGGCAGTAGCAGGCCATCTGGAGCATCTGCTGCCATCGCGTCGGCCGTGGCAGCAGGGACGCAGGCAGTGGCAGCAGGAACGGCAGTGGCAGCAGTGGGACCCCTGTGCCCCACGTCCCTGAGGCAGCCAACTGCATCGTGCCCACCCTGGCGTGGCTAGGTGAGACCCACTTCCAGGCCCAGAGCCTCTACCGCCCTGGACCCTGGCCCCGTGTCGCTGCTCTTGCTCGCAGCCACTGCAAGGAGGGCACAAGGAGGAAGTGGGCAGTCCCCAGAGCCTGCCCCTGGGAGCCCCCTGGAGGCCACCGCCCGAGGGGCCACTATGATGGAGCGGGCTGAGCTGCCCACTGGTGGGGGAGCAGTGCGGTTGGGCATGGAGGAGCAGGCAGAGAGTGTCCCAGTGAGGACCTGGAGGCCCCGGCCAAGGCTACAAGGAGGCGTGGCTGGGGCTGCACACTCCACAGACCCAGTGGGAGCTGGGGACAAGCAGGAACCCCAACCCTTCCGAGTTGGTGGGGTGGAAGCTCCCCGGGTGCAGCCTGAAGCCACCCTGCCGTGGCTACAGACCCAGGCATCTGTGCACTCCTGGGGGCCCAGGAAGGCCCCCTGCTACCCGCCCCCATCTCACCCCCGTCAGAAATGCCTGCTTGCGCTGCCTGGCTTCCTCCCACTGTTGGTGCCTGCTCTGATCTCTGAGCAAAGTCGAGGCCAAGCCCTGGGCTGTCACAGCCCAGATGAGTGTGCACACAGTGGGGGCAGTGCTGACATGCCTGACACGCCAGCCCCCTGGCACCTCGGCCCCCTCTGGACTTTAGGTACCAACAAGCACTGGAGGGAGGCTGAGGGGGGCTGAGGACAGTCTGGCACTGGTCTGCAGGCGCCCCCTGGCATGAACAGCTTGGGCGCCATGAATAGTGGTAGAAGGCAGACAGACTCCTGGGCAGAAGGGGGCTGGTCCCCAGTGAGTGAAGCCCCACCTTCAAACTGGGGAGGGCCTGAAGCCTGAGGGCTATGCCACCAGTCCCCAAAGACTGCAGGGGGAACTTATGGTGCTTTTCCCTGGGCCCGCCCATGGCCACCCATGAACCAATCAGCACACACTTCCTCCCCGGTAAGGCCCATACAAGCCTCAGATTCAGATTCAGCCAGACTCCAGCAGAGGAAGAAAGATGATGGGGAGATGACACGCCGACCAGCTGCAGAGAGGAACTACCCTCTCTGCTGACAGCTGGACACTTATCAGGAGACCTGCCTGCAGAGAGGAGCTACCCTCTCTGCTGAGAGCTGAAGAGAAGATGGGCCAACCAGCTGCAGAGAAGAGAGGAGCTACCTTCTCTACCGAACACGGAACACTCCTTGGGACGACCTGCCCAGCAGAGAGGAGCTACCCTCCCTGCTGAGAGCTGAACACTCATCGGGACACCCTGGCTATGCAGAGGAGCTGCACACTCCAGGTCTACTGTGAGCTGTTCTATTGTTCAGTAAAGCTCCTCTTCGTCTTGCTCACGCTCCACTTGTCTGTGTACCTCATTCCTCCTGGACACAGGACGATAATCTGAGACCTGCCAAATGGCGGGGCTAAAAGAGCTGTAATACAGACAGGGCTGAAACACGCCACTTGCTCGCCATTTTGTGAGTGACAAGGACGAGAGAAGTGAGAAGGAGAGAAGGAGAGGAGCTGCAGCTCTTTGGGAAACCTAGACCTGGGAGCTCCCCAAGCCAGGGCTGTGACTACCCCTTTGGGGCTCTGAGGTTCCTGGAGTCTCCAAGCTTCTGGGCACCACTGTGTTCCCTGGTGCCAGCCGTGGAAGCTGCTTGTGGTGCAGCTGGCCCAGCAGCAGCCTCGCAGAGAGCCGACGCCTGTGCCAGCACCTGCAGCTGCCCGCCCCACGGCAGCAGTCAGTGTATCTGACTGTGCACAGTGGCTGGACCCCACACTTGCTCACACACCCCTCACTGCTCCACACCTGACTCGCAGTCTCCCTCGAGGCGTGGGATCCAGGCTGGTAGCATGAGCCGAGCACAGCCTGCCAGGCTGAGGGGGTGGAATGAGCCCAGCAGACCCGAGCAAAACTCACACAGAGGCACCACTGGCCACAGAGTTTTCCGGCCAGAAAAGCGACACCCCAAAGTTCTCATAACAAAATATTGCCTCTCCCATCCAACCCAACTGGAATTTGCTAGTCTGAATATTTGGGTCATCCCAAATTATACGTTGAAATCCTAACCCCCAAGGTGAGGGCATCAGGAGGTGGCGCTCTGGCAGGTGAAGAAGTCCTGAGGCAAAGCCCTCGTAAATGGGATTAGTGCCGTCATAAAAGAGACCTCAGAGCCTTCTCACCCTTTCTGCCATGCAAGGATACAGCGAGAGGACAGCCATCTATGAACGGAAAGCGGGTGCTCCCCAGATATCAAATGTGCCTGCACCTTGATCTTGGACTTCCTAGCCTCTGAACTGTAAGAAATAAATTTTTGTTGTTTATAAGCCACCCAATCTATGGTATTTTGTTGTAGTAGATGGACTAAGACAGAACCTAACACATAAAGATTTCACATGTGAGTCCAGCCCATTTCTAAATTCCAGCAAAATCCAAATGTCTGCTTGACCAGACATTAAACAAAAAGTTCTGACTAGCAGTGCTCTTTTGGATGCTGGTGCTGACATTCAAGTTCAAGTTCTTTCTCTTACAGCAGAAGCCCTGGAGTTTCTTTTAGTCACCTAAGTTGGTTGGAGTTTTGTGGTTGTTTCATTCTGTATTTATGGGTACTCATTACAAGCCTGTCATCTTAGAACAGAGACTCACCTGGTGCAGCCCTCATCCTGCAGCCATTGGCTTTCCTGGTCTAACCTGGTCCACAACCATCTCTACTTCGAAATGCATTTTTAGTTCCCTTTAGTTCAGCACAAGAGGGATAGGTTGTGCGCTGTCCAATTGGACTACCTGTCCAGTGTTGTGAGACTCTAAATGGCATGGGGAGAGACTATACAGAAATATGAATAACAGGCCGGGTGTGGTGGCTCACTCCTGTAATCCCAGCACTTTGGGAGGCCAAGGCGGGTGGATCACTTGAGGTCAGGAGTTCGAGACCAGCCTGGCCAACATGGTGAAACCCCGTCTCTACTAAAAATATAAAAATTAGCCTGATGTGGTGGCACGTGCTTGTAACCCCAGCTACTCAGGAGGCTGAGACAGGAGAATCGATTGAACCCAGGAGGTGGAGGTTGCAGTGAGCTGAGATCGTTCCACTGTACTCCAGCCTGGGTGAAAGAGCAAGACTCCATCTCAAAAAAAAAAAAAAAAAAAAAAAAGAAATATGAGTAACAGCTGACATTCACCGCTTCTAGCCAGGCACTGTGCTGGGTGTTCTGCATGCATTATCTCAGAGGAGGAAACTGAGGCTTAAAGTGGATTAATAACTTGCCCTCAGTCACATAGCTAGTAGATTGAGATCTGGGTTGACTGCAGGTCTGACTGACTTCACTGTTTGAGCTTTTATTCCTATTCTTTACTGCCCTTTCAGTGAGTGCCAGGAAATCTGGAGATAAGGGCTGTAGTAGCCCAGGAGGTTTCGGTGGAGGAAGGAGAAGTTGAATTGGATGTCAAGGATTGTGTTAGAAAGACAATTTGGATTGTACCAGGGATGGGGTAGGACAGAAAAACAAGCAGAGCAGGCTCCCTTGCTTTTGTTGTCTCCATAGAACAGTAGAAAAGGTGAATTAGACCATTTTGTGGTTGACATTACCAATTAATTTTAAATTCAATGCCTGCTTTGTCGTTGAGCTTAATCTTAATTATAGCAGATCTCTTCGCATTTCTTTTCTTTGTGCAGATTGCACAGGCAGGGGTTTTAAGTGTATCAAAGAGCGTCTGCACTGAGAGAAATTATTTATGTTGCATTAAAATAATTGGCCTAATTCTCTGAACCAACAAGTAAAATCTAATTCCTGTCTTAAAGGTAAAGAGTAATGTAATATGGAAAGAAAAACATTCACTTAGCTATCTCTCTTTTATTACTAGTACATGGTATAATGTCCAGGAAACAGCTAAGATCAGCATATGTAGCTTGAGCTTTGCATAGAGGTAGTGTCCTTGACTCATGGCTTAATGCACATAAGTGTGCAAGATATTTCAATAACACGGAGGTAACAGTCTGAGAAACACATTTGAACTTAAATATTCTGCACATGACATCAGGATACACCACTGTCTTTTTTTATTCCACTTTGTGCCTTTGTACCATCTCACTATGAAAGTGCTTCTTATAAAATATTATTTCTGGCCAGGCACAGTGGCTCACACCTGTAATCCTAGCACTCTGGGAGGCCGAGGCGGGTGGATCACTTGAGGCCAGGAGTTCGAAACCAGCCTGGCCAACATGGTGAAACCCTGTCTCTACTAAAAATACAAAAAAAAATAGCCAAGCGTGGTGGTGGACATCTGTAATCCCAGCTACTAGGGACACTGAGGCAGGAGAATCGTTTGAGCCTGGGAGGCAGAGGCTGCAGTGAGCCGAGATCATGCCACTGCACTCCAGCCTGGGCGACAGAGCGAGACTCCATCTTAAAATATATATATATATATATATATATATAAAATATAAATATATATATAATATATAAAATATATAATATACAATATATAAAATATATAATATATGATATATAATATATTATATAAAATATATATTAATATAAAATATATAAGTATATATTATATATAAAATTATATATTATAGTATATTATTATATATAAAATTATATATTATAGTATATTATTATATATAAAATAATGTATATAGAAATTATATATTACATATATATGTGTGTATATATATATATATATATAATTTCTGAAAGAGCTGGACTTTGTTTCCAAGTCATTTAGTTTCTCCCAGGTTGTGGAATCTGTGTCCTTGGCTTTAAATCACATTCACAGTTTCAATCCTCTTGTCTTTTTTGCAGAAAGTAATTTTTCCAGAGACATATTTTAATCCATGTAAGGGTGAAATTACTTCACTTTTTTTTTTTTAGCATCTTCAAAAAAACTTTTTCTATTTCAGAAAAAAACTGAAGTGACTTCCTCCTCTGTATATATGGGCAACCCAGTCTCTCTGTCCCTTTATAAAAATAGGCATCATTTCTGGCAGTCATGTAGTTTGTGTGGGACCAGGCCAACTTCAGCTCCAGCAGGCAGCCCTGATTGGTCAAGGCCACAATTGGGTAATCGAACCCGCATGTCCACAGGATTTGGTTCAGGGATGAGCCAATCAGCACAAAGCTTTGAGCTGCTGTTGGCTGATTGTGGGAAACATACTTCCCTGTTGCATGGGAACAATGAAGCGTGTAAGCCTGATTGCAGCCAGCTCTTCTACAATCACCAGGAAATTAGCCCTAGGAGGCAAACAACATTTGTATAAAAGAGAAGAGACGCGGAAAGAAATTGAGTCCTCACGTCATTGTAGCAATCAGTGTAGTCCACCGTACCAATGGACTCCCAGTTAGCTACTAAATCCCTTATTGTTGATGAGTTTCAATTGGGTGTTCTGTTACTTAAAGCCAAAAGCATTTTATCTGATGCACCCCACTACTGGGAAGTTGAGCTAAACACACAATACTACACCTCAAAATACAGTTTATCCAGTCTGAATGTCTAACAATAGGGTATTAGGTAATTTAAATTGCATATATTGATGGTATATTAGGATGGACTAGGCTGTTGTAATAATAGAAACTTAACTTTCATTCACATACTAATCTGAAGCAAGCGATCCTGATCAGCAGATGGCTCTGTTCCATATGATTCCATTGGTTTTTCAGAAACCCAGGCTTCTTCCGCCTTTTGGCTCCCACATCCCCTAAGGCCTTGTTATCACCCTCATTAAGCTGGCAGAAAGGGAAGAAGCCGGAAGGGGCACACCCCTGCTTCTTAAAAACCTTGGCCCAGAAATGGTACAAACCATATTCACTCTACCTTGGCTAAAACTCAGCCACACAGCCACATCTAACTATAAAAGATCCCAGGAGGAAAAAGTGGACTTTGGATAATTAACTGCAGACAGGATGCTTTAGAAGCTTATTAAATCACAGGGGGAAATGCTAATAGAGCAGTGTCTACAGTACCCTCCCAGCATTTTTTTTTTTCTTTTTGATACGGAGTCTTGCTCTGCCACCCAGGCTGGAGTGCAGTGGCATGATCTCGGCTCACTGCAGCCTCCGCCTCCCAGGTTCAAGCAATTCTCCTGCTCAGCCTCTCAACTAATTACAGGTGTGAGCCACCATGCCCAGCTAATTTTTTATTTTTAGCTGAGATGGGGTTTCACCATGTTGGCCAGGCTGGTCTCCAACTCCCGACCTTAGGTGATCCGCCCACCTTGGCCTCCCAAAGTGCTGGGATTACAGGCGTGAGCCACCCTGCCTGGTCCCTCCCAAGCATTTTGTTTTGTTTTGTTTGTGTGTGTGTGTGTGAGACAGAGTCTCTCTCTGTCACCCAGGCTGGAGTGCGGTGATGCAATATCTCAGCTCACTGCAACCTCTGTGTCCTGGGTTCAAGTGACTCTCCTGTCTCAGCCTCCTGAGTAGCTGGGATTACAGGTGTGTGCCACCATGCCCGGCTAATTTTTGTATTTTGGGCAGAGATGGAATTTCACCATGTTGGCCAGGCTGGTCTCAAACTCCTGACCTCAAGTGATCCGCCCGCCTCGGCCTCCCAAAGTGCTGGGATTACAGGCGTGAGCCACCATGCCTGGCCCCCCTCACAAGCTTTCTAAAGGCCCCTATCTATAAGCACATGAGCTCTATCTCTTTCTGCTTCAGCCCTGAGACGAGCCTTTGTTTTGTTCTTCATCCTTGTTCGTCTTCTGGCACCTTCCTGATGTTCCTAGCAAGCAAATGTACTTTGCCATGCACTGGTAAACAATAAAGATTTTACTGAAGGTCTGGTGTGATGACAGAAATGTAATCAAGGTCTTCCATGGATATCTGTTCTTTCCTGCAAAGCTCTCTTCCTTTGCCAGCAGCCTCACCTCACCTGTTTACTTTTCTCTGGTTGAAGGCTTTCCTTCCAGCATCAACAGCCCTAAAAGTCTCATCGCCTGAGCAATTCGACTCTTACTCTTTGTTTCATGCCTGCTCAGCCAAAAAACAAAACAAAAAACAGAAACAACAAAAAAAACCAGTATTAAATAAAAAACTAACGACATATCTTTTTCCTCCAGCATACCCCTCAGGGAACTTAGCATATAACTCAATGAACAAAAAGTTTTCTTCTGGGGGCAGAGTTGGGTGGGGGCTTCTTGCTAAGAAAATTAATTCTTGCCAGAAAAATTCATTTACATGGGAAAAAAGACTGAAAGGATATCCTAAAATGTTAACAGTATTTACCTCTATGTAATTAAAGTTTTTTTTCTCTTGTATGTTCCTACACTTTCCTTTAATTTTTGTTTCTGTGTTTTCCAAATGTTCTACAGTATATGATATATTTCTTTAATAATCTAAAAAATATTTAGTAAAGAAATTTATCTTTTGTTCAACATCACTAATCATTAGAGAAATGCAAATCAATACCACAACGAGATACCACTTCACACCCGTTAGGATGGATATTAAAAAAAAAAAAAAGAGGCTGGGCGTGGTGGCTCGTGCCTGTAATCCCAGCACTTTGGAAGGCCACGGTGGGTGGATCACAAGGTCAGGAGTTCGAAACCAGCCTGGACAACATGGTGAAACCCCGTCTCTACTAAAAATACAAAAAAATTAGCCGAGCGTAGTGGCGGGCACCTGTAATCCCAGCTATTTGGGAGGCTGAGGCAGGAGAATCGCTTGAACCGGGAGGCGGAGGTTGCAGTGAGCCAAGATCTCGCCACTGCACTCCAGCCTAAGCAACAGAGCAAGACTCCATTTCAAAAAAAAAAAAGAACAAGTGTTGGTGAGGGTATGGGGAAATTAGAATGTTTGTGCATTGTTGGTGGGTCTCTAAAATGGTACGGCCACCATGGGAAATGGTATGGTGGTTCCTCAAAAAATTAAAGAGAGAATTACCAGAAATTCTACCTCCGGCTATGTATTCAAAATAATTGAAAGCAGAAATTTGAACAGATATTTTTAGGCTCATATTCATAGCAGCAATAGCCAAAAGGTGGAAGCAATCCAGTGTCTGTTGACAGATGAATGGCTAAGTCAGATGTGGTATACATATACAAGGAATATGATTCAACCTTAAACAGGAAGGAAATTCTGACACATGCTACAACATGGATGAACCTTGTAGACATTATGCTAAGTGAAACAAGCCCGTCGCAAAAGGACAAATACGATTCCACTTATATGAGGTACTTAGAGTAGTCAAATTCATAGAGACAGAAAGTAGAATCATGGCTGCCAGGGACTGGGTGGGAGGGAGGAAATAAAGAGTTATTGTTTAACGGATACTGAGTTTCAGTTGGGAAAGATAAAAACATTCTGGAGAGGGATGGTGGTGATGGTTGCACAACAATGTGAATGTACTTAATGCCACAGAATTGTACACATAAAAATAGTTAAAATGGTAAATTTTATGTTAACATATATTTTACTACAATTTTTCTAAAACACAAAATTTCTCTTTCCACAGGCAATTTTACCAGAAGTTTTGACGTGGATAGCTTATGATCTCTTGGAAACCAGATATTTCCCTAGTTTGGGCTTTCCACCTACACCGTATTTCTTTTTAAATGAATTTGTAAATGACATAAGGAAAAATACTTATTACACTTATATTTACACAAGGCTCAGGGAATTAGTAAAAGATGGCTTTTTTTTTCTCCAAGGATTTTTTAAGTGAGAAAGAGGCCAGGCATGGTGGCTCATGCCTTAATCCCAGCACTTCAAGAGGCCAAGGCGTGTGGATCACCTGAGGTCAGGAGTTTGAGACCAGCCTGGCCAACGTGGTGAAACCCCATCTCTACTAAAAATACAAAAATTAGCCAGGTGTGGTGGCGGGCGCCTGTAATCCCAGCTAGTTGGGAGGCTGAGGCAGGAGACTCGCTTGAGCCCGGGAGGTGGAGGTTGCAGCGAGCCAAGATCGCCATTGCACTCCAGCCTGGGCGACAAGAGTGAAACTCCATCTCAAAAAAAAAAAAAAAAAAGAAAAGAAAAGAAAAGAAAGGAAGATAGGTAAGCAATTAACTATAATCTACAATGAAATAAAATCACGGACCAAGGGTAGAGGTAGAAGCAGTGAGTTCTGCCTGGGGTTTTGGGAAGGATCCCAGAGAAGGGTGTTTAAGGTCGACCTTAAAGAAGTCTTGGGAGTTTACTAATGGAGAAGAGAGGGTGAACATTAGAAAGTGGGATAAAGAGAGGTGAAGGGGACAGCACTGGGACACGAGGAAGCCAACTGACACCCACACATCTCATCCCCTGAGACCGCTGACCAGTCATAGGGCATCGAGGGACTTTGAGCATGACCAGATGAGCACCTGCCTTGATGAGGCAGTGCTGTCTTTACTGGGGAGATGACCCAGGAAATGAGCTGAACTCAGAAAGCAAAGTCAAAGCCAGCCACGTGTCAGGGCCAGAGTCGAGACCTTGGCCGGCTCAGTGGTGTGACTCTAGAGCAATACAGAGTATGCAGGAGCTTCCTGTGCAAACAAGGAAATGGCCCCCTGCATGTTGGTGCCTGATGATGTGCAGCTGTGGGCTTCACAGTCTGACAATGAAAGGAATAGAAGCTTTTAAAGTTAAATCTAAAGCTCTTGTAATGTTTCTTGTCAGCGCCTTAGACCTGGCCAATCTGCAACCCATGTCTTCCCCTAGTATCCACACTCATGGACTTATCACTAGATGGTGGCACTCAGATGGTGCACAGCTGTACAACTGTCACCCCAGCCCAGGTAGGAAGGAGAACAGAGCATGCTTGTGATCTGGAAGTTCATGGGTGCTGCGTCAGTCATTCTGCATCGTGATCAGCTTGCAAAGAGGAGACAGAGGCCATGTAGAATTATAAGTCTTGGACCTGGCGGATCATCAAGGTTAACTCATTCGGCAGCTTATTGTCCATCAGTTGGGTCATTCTTGTCATGTGGCTGTTTCTTCTCTTTGAAGTCTCTGTCATGTGTTGACATGACACATGTGTTGGAATGATTAGGTGGCTCAATGGAAGCACTTTTCTCTGTTCACTAAAGGAAGGTCCCTGCCTCTGTTGGGTATTTCTGCTCCAGGCAACCACAAAGATGGCCTTTGAGGCTCCTCTCCACATCCCCAGGCACCCTAAGAGAACACTTAATCCTGCTCCCAAAGCCACAATGTCTAAGATCATTAAACATTCACACCCATCTCTTATCTGGCTGGGTCACAAAGTTTAGGGGACAGACTATCTGAAGAATCCCACAAACTTACCCTTTCTTGTTTTCCAAGTTCCCAGGATCCAACCACCTCCTCAGGGTCAGGCCCTGGCATGCTGTTACTCACAAAGAACAAAAACTTCTATACCTTACCCCTCTCCCTTCTTGGAAGCCTCCTTAATTCCCCCAGGTGGGCCTGATTCACAAATAGCTGGAAATTCCCTGCCTGGGGTCAAGGCACCCAGGTCTGGGAACACAAAGCCCTGGCTGCCTTTGCTGGAAGGGAAAGGGGAAAATTATCTTTCCATTGTTTTTGCTGACAGGTCATAGTAGCAAAAGAGATAAGCTACAATGAATTTCTCAGCATTTCACCTTGTGGTGCATTGAGATGTTCTCACTGGCTGATGCCTGGAGACAGGTGCACTGGCCATATTCATCTGATACCATGATGTCAGGTGGAGCCTTTCAATCCACTCATGGGTCTTCCTTTGCTCCCTAGGGTGTAACTCTTGGACATTTTGGGGTGGAACCTGGATCGCTGCTTAACTTCCTTAAATGGATATCCAATGCTGCTCCCAGCTCCACCTCATCCTATGTCTGTTTCCTGTCTACTCCCAGTCATTCTCCCGCATCCCCAGGCACAAAGCCCCAGAGGGTCTGATGTGATTTTTGGGTAGAGTCATATTGATGCAGCAGGACCTAACCCTGACAAAGCAGGGTTTGAGGTTTAGAAATTTGAACTATGAACCCTCCTTACTTTCCTACGGTTCCAAAACTACTTTGGAACTAGTAATCCTGGCATGTCAGACCCGGAGGAGCACTGTCATTTGTGAACAAGCCAGCTGTCCCCAGGCCCAGGTCAAGAAAGCCTGTGATCTGATGGCCTAGCCTCAGCTACAGAGATAAGGCCCTTCTCTTCTGTGCTTTGGAATGATTAAGTGGCTCAATGGGAGCACTTTTCTCTGTTCACTAAAGGAAGGGCAGTGTTGGTTGTTTTTTTCTAGAGTGTTCTTTAAGGAGGCTCTCCACCTACCAGAGTCTGTAAATTCTATTTTCCATCTTGACAGAGTTCCTAGTGAAGCTGAAGCCTGTCTTCTCTCTCATGTCCAGATTCAGGGACTACACATTGGCCCAAGTTCTTTACTTTAGAAGATTTTGGGACCTCTCTTTATGCTTCCTTGTCCAGCCTCTCCCTGCAGTCTTAGAGGCTGAATCCAGTCTCATGTCTGGTGTCTGTGCTGAATGTCAGTGGTTTTAAGGCCTCTTCTGCATATCAGCTCTGGCCCTCCTCACCCAGCTTTCCTTGGTCTGTAAGTCATATCCTTTAACCTCCACCTGGGTGTAGCTCTCAGAGTTGGAGGGCATTTTGCCATGGCTGCTGCAGCCTGTGTGCAGGAACAGATACAGCATCTGATGATCTGATTTATGTTTTCCAGATTTATCGCCTCACTCGCATACTCAGGCCAGTTGATATTTTAGGCACGTGAATCACAGTGTCTGGCATGGCTTCCTCTATAGCAGAGCTCCGGCAGCAGGCATAATGAAGTTGGGAGGGGGGAGAGTTCAACTTATCAGGGAGGAAAATTTGTGTCAGTAACAAGTCTGCCTGGCAACAGCACTAAAAGAGAGATAGCAGGTCCCAACATCAGAGCCAAAATCTTCACACTAGTAGAGTAGCATCACCCTGAGCAATTTTCCTACTTGGGTTGCTGCCTTCTCTTGCTTTTCCCACCCCCCAAAAAAGGAAAATAAGCATGTCATACATGCATTCTCCAAAGGATAACCCCTAACCTGCCACTGAACAGGGAGAGGGTGATGAGCCGAAATGTCACCAGGCTGTGGCTATCCATTGATGTGTTATGAATGAATAATAAGAATTAAGCTTCTGCAGTGGAATTACGGGCACTGAAAGAAGTTGCAATGGGCAGAGCTAATTGACCCTCTGCCATTCAGTGTAGGATTCTGCTGGGGGAATGCGTCTCAAGACTAGGAGATAGGAAGATATTCCTTTATTTTTTCCTGCTCCCCTAAGCATGCTCTATTATTATTATTATTATTTTGGATCTCGGCTCACTGCAACCTTCACCTCCTGAGTTCAAGCGATTCTCCTGCCTCAGCCTCCTGAGTAGCTGGGACTACAGGCGTGCACCACCACACCCAGCAAATTTTTGTTTTAGTAGAGATGAGGTTTCACCATGTTGGCCAGGATGGTCTTGATCTCTTGACCTCATGATCTGCCCGCCTCAGGGGATTACAGGTGTGAGCCACCGTGCCTGATCAATTATTAAATAAAATATAGCGTTTCCTATTTCTCAATAAATCTATTCGGAATTGAGAAAGAAAGCAGAAGAAGAACTGACCTGGACATCTGAACACTTTGGAGGCGACCTCAAGAACAGTCATTGTGTCTTTACGTCTGGATCTCAATGTCCAGGGCAGTCACAGGCACAAAGTAGAAACTGAATGCAGGTGTGCTGAACTGACCTGGCCTCGGCTCCATTAGTACTTGGAATGCCTTTGGATGGTCTCTTTACTCCTCCAGGCACGCTTTCACCATCTGAAGAATGAACCAATGATCTCTTCGAGATCTTCCCAGATCTGACATTCTAGGCTTTCAAAGTCAAAACTAGTTTTAAAATCCTAAGAAAACAGAGAATTTAAAAAAATTTCCCATAAATGTTTCTATCTCAAATGCTTGATCATTGGGCTCTGCTTCATCATCAAAATGCGTGCATGCAAGTCTTCAGGCTTAAATGTTCCCATGAATACATCAGTCTGGTATCTGGGATACATTTACATTTTTAGCATTGGTGTAATTCTATTTGGTTTTATGCCACAGGAAGTTCAAGCCTGATTCAATTCAGGAGTTTCATAAAATGAGTTTTTAGAAGGAAAAGACAATGCATTGCACATGTTATACCACTGTACTTTGCATTGTTATCCAATCAGGTGTGTTAAGGTTGACTTTTGCTTCAGTCCAAGAATCTGTTAGCAATCCATAAAGTGGAATATTTTACTCTCTTATTTGGAAGCACGGAATTTAAGAGCTGGAAGGTAGGCAGACATCTCTTACTAAAACAAGGGCAGGGAGACTTTTTGTACATTTTTGCATACCTCTCAGCTCCTAATGTAGTTCTCATATAAATACCAAAATACCTAAAATATCTAATACCAAACAGAAGGAGGCCTGGTTTCTAAGCCTGGGGATGAGAAGGTGGTCAGCAGCATAAAACAGAGTTGCGTCGTTTGAGAGTGTGTCTCTTTGCATCAAAAATATCCAGAGCAAGATTTAAATTTCTGTCTGTCAGCGAAGGGGCAGAGACAACTGTGCAGAACTCCGCAGAGGAAGAAACTCTTCCTAGGTAACAGCTGCTGCTGGCTTTTTTCATAAAGTGCACACGCAAGAGGAGCAACCCTCTTGGGAAGCAGAGTTGATGACAACTCAGCACTTAAGGGAGGGAACTTAGAGCCAGTGCAGACAGACTACAGAGTCCCAGCAACTGGATAAAACCTCTGGACTGAGCAAGCAGATGTGCTAGCAGTAGAGCCCAGAAGAGAAACCCTAACAAAAAAGGATTAGAAGCAAAGATACTGAGATGACCCAGAAGGGAATCAAGGGGATAACATGGAGGTAGGAAATGGGAGGGAAAATCCTAGGGACATTACCGAAATCATGGGAAGGCAGTAGAATCTTCAGTCCCTGGATCTTAACCAATGGGAAGTTAAAGCCAACATAGAAAAGGCAGGACTCAAAGTCAAACCCAAGGAAGAGAGAGAGTTGAATACTGGGTAATGAAGAAAACGTTTAAAGCTGGGAGAATTGAGAATAGAGAACACTAAAGGCAGCAAATTCAGATGACAGTGATTCCTAAATTTCTAGAGTGTTTATTATGTGATACTTGACCATACCTGGCTGGGGTGACCGTTTAAAGGAAATACATAGTAGTTTGGAAAAGACAACAAAATAAGAAGATCCAAAAATGATCAGGACAGAACTATCTCCATTAGACAATGTCCTTGGATATTAGAAATGAATATAAGAACCACAGTCTGAAGACCCAGCAGAAAAGAGTTTGAACCATAGGAGTTTGAATACATTATCCATACATTGTAGGAACATTTACTATTCATAAAACCAGAAGTTAGGTGAGAGAGGGCAGTTCCAGGGTTATTTAAATAAGGGGCCAATGCCAACAACAAGGACCCGGATTCCTCGCGTCTATCCCCTTTCCTATCCATAGAGTGGTGTCCTCTTAGGATGGCTTTCCTCATGGCTTCTGTGGGAAACAGAGAAATCCCTTCACTTGCGTAACTTCTTAAAAGCAAGGAATCCCTTCCCAGAGAGCCTCTTGCAAGTTTCCCTTACATCTTTTCAGCCAGAAGTGCCTTTCTCTCCCATGCAAAGCAGTCCCTTGGAAAGGGAAACGAGGTCAACAGGCTATAAGGGACTGATAAAGGTCCCTTCTGGGTGGGTTCTTCCGCCAAAGCACACAGCCATTCAGATGGGGGTGAATAGAATCAGGATTCACCTTGCAAAGGAGAAGGAATGAGGACCCAACTGCACAAGGAATTGCTCTGGTTAATGGCGACTGGATGTGGGTGGGAAGCATCCCGGAGCCAGGGTGGTCTCAACCTCCCCTTTGGCTCTCTGCCCTCCTTCTGTTGGGGAGCACTAACTGAGGTCAAGAGAAGTGAGGTAACATACCCACCTGTTGTCTCAGACAGCAAGAGACAGCCCTCAAACCTCACCACCCTCATTCAGTTCAATGCACTTTCCACCACAGCATCCTGTTTTCTCCTGGTAACATTTTAAATCGCCTTTGTTGAGGCTCAATGCGGGGCAGACATTTTGCCATGATATTAGAAGACGTATCCACCATGGCCATAATGAGGTGCAGCCACTTTGGTGGAAACAGCAGGGAGTTCAGAATCAACTCTGGTTTGACTGTTGACTCCCTTTTCTAGCTGAGGAGCATGGGGCAGCTACTTGCTTTCTCTAGGCCCAGCTCTGCCACCCTTCCTTTGGCATGTGAGTTCATTCAAAGGAGGCAGTGCTGTGAGGGATGCTGATATGGTTTGGTTCTGTGTCCCCGCCCAAATCTCATATTGAATGGTAATTCCCAGTGTTGGAGGAGGGGCCTGGTGGGAGGTGACTAGATCATGGACGGATTTCCCCCTTGCTGTTCTCGTGATAGTGAGTGAGTTCTCAGGAGACCTGGTTGTTTAAAAGTGTGTAGCTCCTCCCCATTCACACTCTTCTTCCTGCTCCAGCCCTGTAAGATGTGCCTGCTTCCCTTTCACCTTCCACCAGGATCGTGAGTTTCCTGAGGCCTCCCCAGCCATGCTTCCTGTACAGCCTGCAGAACCATGAGCCAATTAAACCCCTTTTCTTTATAAGTTACCCAGTCTCAGGTATTTCTTTATAGCAGTGCACGAATGGACTAATACAGATATCATGGCAATAAATGGGGCATTCTGTAAGCCCATGAAAAATGGTTCTGGCCTAGGGGCTATAGACATGGAGATGTGGAAAACAAATACCCCTATTTTTCTGTCCTGTCATTCTCTGACCTCCATTACTGTCTCCCATCCTTGGCCAAACCCAACAGGAAGCTGAAGAGAAAGATAAGGGCAGGAAGTGGGTGAGGGGAGGGTTAGTATGGGCAAAAGAAAATAAGCAAAAGAGTTGTTGTGTGTGCCTGGTATATACTAGATGTATGACTATACATGGATATTATTTTTGTTGTTTTTTATTTGTTTTGTTTTTTAAATAGAGATGGGGTCTCACTATGTTGCCCAGGCTGGTCTCAAACTCCTGGGCTCAAGTGATTCTCCTGCCTTGGCCTCCCAAAATGCTGGGATTACAGGAGGGAGCCACCATGCCAGGCCTTTTTGTTGTTTTCTTTTTATTTTTAGAATCCTGAAGTCAAGTTCTGGAAAAAAGAAAAGTGAAAGTTCACAGAGATAAGAAACAAGGTTGGCACACTAGACTATGTATTGGGGACCACGGCTCCCAGTCCTCCTGCAACTCGGCTGTCTCCCTGTCCTGCCTGTGTCAGTGCCTCATGGGCCCCAGTCTCTTCATTCCCAATGAGTCTCTCCACTCTAACTAAACTGGCCTGTCAGGGCAAGTCTGATAGGAGCTGTGGTAATGACAGCATAGAAGACTATGTGTCTCCTGCTATGATGACAGCATCCTTAGAGCGTGGCTCTTCAGTCATTTTTCCTGATGTGATGGTGATTCCAGCTGACCAGTCACTATAGCCATGCCCTCTTCCCTGTACTCATCAATGACCAGCAAGAGCTCAGGACACCATTCCACTCTAAATACAAGAGCCAAACTTCTGCAGTCCATACGAGCATCTCCTAGCTCAGAGATGAGTCAGTGTGCAGGAAGAGTAAATGAGTTACAGATAGGATCTAAATGTGGACCCCTCTCCCATCTCTCATATCTCTCATTCCTACTAATGCCTTACTTCTGTTTCCCCCACTGCCCCAGATATTCACTGTATTAGTTCATTCTTGCATTGCTATAAAGAAATACCTGAGACAGGGTAATTTATAAAGAAAAGAGTTTTAATTGGCTCATTGTTCTGCAGGCTGTACAGGAAGCACGATGCTGGCATCTGCTTGGCTTCTGGGGAGGCCTCAGGAAACTTGCAATCATGGTGGAAGGTGAAGGGGGAGCAGGCACTTCACATGGCCAGAGCAGGAGGAAGAGAAGAAAGGGAGGTGTCACACACTTTTAAACAACCAGATCTCAGAAGAACTCACTATCACGACAACAGCACCATAGGGGAAATCTGCCCCCATGATCCAAGCACTTCCCACCAGGCCCCATCTTCAACATTGAGGATTACAACTGAACATGATATTTGGGTGGGGACGCAGATCCAAACCATGTCATTCAGCCTCCTCAATTTCTCCTTACCCCAGAGTCATGAACTCTAAGGTCCCCACCTGTGGATTCAGAGAGAATGAATCAGCACCCCTGACTAGATATCCCAGCCCCTGAGGATGGAGCATAATTCCCCAACCCCAGAAGAAAGTCAGTTTAGTTTCTAAAGCAGATCAGCTTTCCTCACTCCTGATTTACTTGGGATAGTAACTGGATATGACCCCCTGTTTTGATTAAGACATTGGGTGTTGGTTTCTGGTTGTTTATTCCACAAATTACCCTCTTCTGGAGGCTTGACCCGTCGTAGGCACGCCAGATACTGACCAATCTGTTCTAATGGAACTAATACTCATAAATTGTCTCCCTTTCCAGCTCTTACCCAACTGATGAATGAGCCAGAGAGAAAGTATTTTAATTGGATTCCTGACTTGATAAGATTTCATGTGTTCCCTTTGAACACATAAAGAACTTCCTCTACTTCCTCTCCTCCTGCTTTCCCACCTTGCACCAAAAAAAAAAAAAAAAGAAAGAAAGAAAGAAAGAAAAGGAAATCATTTTGGAGGAGGGGGTCAGGAGAAGGAGACTGTTCTTTCAACCAGGAATGTCTCAGCACCTGCAAGTTAATTTAGAAATGTATAGGTAATTGCAGAGAGGAGAAGACTTAGTAAAAATTTTGTTTCCTCTAAAAGGAACAATTGCTTTTATTTAATGGATATGCGGAAGAACTTTTTGTTATCTGTGCCTGGAGTTATTTGCTTCAATTATCTTGCTGGGTTTCGATTGTCCCTCCTCCTCCTCCTTTGAAAGAACATTGAAAAAGGAAACCTAGTTCTCTCCTAATGTGTCAGATGCCTGTAATGTCACAAAAGAAAGGCATCTATAAACTGTTCCTCTGTGGGAGTGGATATGGGATCCTTGCTCAAATAAGCTTATTGGGTGCTAGCATCACACCTGAAAAGGCACAGGCTTAAGCATCACACCTTTAGAGAAGTGGTTCTCAACCCAATTTGCACATTCCATTAAAACACCTGTGTGTGTGTGTGTGTGTGCCTACACACTTATTTCCTGGGCCCCACTCTGGAGAATCCAATTCAATTGGTCTGAAGTAGGCCCAGGCATTGGTAGGTTTTTTGTTCGTTTGTTTGTTTTTGTTTTTGAGACGGAGTCTCACTCTGTCACCCAGGCTGGAGTGCAGTGGCGTGGTCTCGGCTCACTGCAACCTCTGCCTCCTGGGTTCAAGTGATTCTCCTGCCTCAGCCTCCAAAGTAGCTGGGACCACAGGCATGTGCCACCACACCCAGCTAGTTTTTTGTTTGTTTGTTTTTTGTATTTTAGTAGAGATGGGGTCTCACCATGTTGGCCAGACTGGCCGTAAGTGATCCACTCGCCTCTGCCTCCCAAAGTGCTAAGATTACAGGTGTGAGCCACCATGCCCAGCCTCTAGTGATTCTTGTGTGCATCCAGATTGAGAAACGCTGCTTAGAGCTTCAAGAAGTTTGCCCACACTTATCTTCATTACCCTGTGACCCAGTTAATTTTCTTCTGGAATTCAAAAGGAGATCCTTGAAGCTAGTTGGCTATTTGCAGCAGATGACACTCAGCTGCAAAGAAAAAAGGA
Source organism: Homo sapiens (assembly GCF_000001405.40). Taxonomy (NCBI): domain Eukaryota; kingdom Metazoa; phylum Chordata; class Mammalia; order Primates; family Hominidae; genus Homo; species Homo sapiens. Next base: position 71,249,629 of record NC_000014.9, read on the forward strand.
AATGCAAAGAATAAAGAATATGAAACCTGTAAAGGCCAAAGTTCTTAGAAGCAAAATGTTCCAATCAGAACATTGGGTGAACTGTAGGCCGGGTGCGCTGGTTCACGCCTGTAATTCCAGCACTTTGGTAGGCCAAGGCAGGCAGATCACTTGAGGTCAGGAGTTTGAGGCCAGCCTGGCCAACATGGTGAAACCACATCTCTACTAAAAATACAAAAATTAGATGGGCATTTTGGTGGGTGCCTGTAATCCCAGCTACTTGGGAGGCTGAGGCAGGAGAATCACTTGAACCCAGGAGGTGGAGGCTGCAGTGAGCCGAGATCAAGCCGTTGCATTCCAGCCTGGGTGATAGAGCATGACTCCATCTCAAAAACAAAAACAAAAAAAGAAAGGACGTTAGGTGGGTGAACTGTGATGATGTGATGCTGCTTCCTCTCTCTCTTATCCTCTACACACGTACACATGAGAATGCTCATGTCGGCACACATGCTGCACGTGCACACACAGTGACATGATACAGCTCTACACACAAACTCCAGATTTGTCCCACCTGGCACAAAGCTCTGAAGCAGTTGACTTCTGTTTGTCAAAATGGTCTTCCTGCACTTACTGGGCTACAGGTGGCTTCAATGCAGCAACACGTTGTATTTCATCTTAAGTTATTTGTTTGGAATTCCAATATATGTTTCCATAAATAAATGGTGTAATCATGATGATAAATTTCCATAGTACAACTGAACTGAAGTACAAAATGTATTCTAGAGTAATTACGGTGGAGTTAGAGCACTAACAACATAGGTTCGCCTCACTGGATTACTATGACACCCAGGTATTCTGTACAATAACAATTGCAGAGGCAGGAAGAGTGACATGCATGTGGCACTACTACTGAATGGCAATAATAGAGGGCAATGGAAAGGTATGAACCAACCTCAAGGGTGAGAGCTGAGTGAGGCTTTGTAGACCAAAGATAGGGAGCATAAGAGGTGAGTTTTAAGATCTAGGTTATAGAATGGGTTGCTGTGACTGAGGTGAGATAAGATGGGGGCTGCCTGTTTAGGAGATCATAAACATATACCAGGGGATATTTGGAGATCTTAGTGAACCTCCAAATTTATAATGGGGAGCTGTCTGCGGAGGCTCCTGTCTTCCAAGTCACATGTCCATAGAGAGTTTTATCTGATTTTTGTGCAGATCCTGGTATCCCTGGACCATGTTTTTCAATTTAAAGAGAAAGTTTAATCTCAAATGTCATTTTTCACAAAGAGATAAAGTGTTTATTACCAGGAAGTGGTGAAGACTGCAGTGAACTAGAAGAAGATACCCTATTTAAAATGGGTAATCATTGCTCAATTCTAGCCAAAGGCTGCCAAGATGGGCTGCATGCCCAGTTCTCTAATTTTTTTCATAAGACAAGCCAGAAATATAGATCTTAATATTTTATTTCCCCCTTATTTTATCCTGGAAGTCCTAGCTAATGCAACAGGACAAGAAAAGGAAATAATGCAGCACTGTTCACAATAACCAAGATTTGAAAGCAATCTGTGTCCATTAATAGACAAATAGAAAAATAAAATGTGGTACATATACACAATGGAGTACTATTCAGCCATAATAAAGCATGAGATCTTGTCATTTGCAACAACACGGGTGGAACTGGAGGTCAGTATGTTAAGTGAAATAAGCCAGGCACAGAAAGGCAAACATGGCATGTTCTTAAGTATCTGTGGGAGCTAAAAATGGAAACAATTGAACTCATGAAGATAGAGAGTAGAAGGATGGTTAACAGAGGCTGGGAAGGGTGGTGGGGGAGTGGGGATGGTTAATGGGTACAAAAAAAAAGTTAGAAAGAATAAATAAAACCCAATATTTGTTAGCATAATAGGGTGACTATAGTAAAAAATAATTTAATTGTTCATTTAAAAATAACTAAAAGAAGGCCAGATGCGGTGGCTCACACCTGTAATCCCAGCACTTTGGGAGGCCAAGGAGGGCGGATCACAAGCTCAGGAAATCGAGACCATCCTGGCTAACACGGTGAAACCCTGTCTCTACTAAAAATACAAAAAATTAGCCAGGTGTGGTGGCAGGTGCCTGTAGTCCCAGCTACAGGGAGGCTGAGGCAGGAGAATGGCATGAACCTGGGAGGCAGAGCTTGCAGTGAGCTGAGATCGCACCACTGCACTCCAACCTGGGAGACAGAGGAGACTCCGTCTCAAAAAAAAACAAAAACAAAAACTGAACGCATAATTGCATTGTTTAAAACACAAAAGATAAATGCTTGAGGGGATGGTTACTCTATTTACCCTGATGTCCTCATTACACATTGCATGGCTGCATCAAAGTATCCCATGTAACTCATAAATATATACACCTACTATGTAACCACAAAAATTAAAAAAAATTTAAAACAAAACAAAATGTATACAGATTGGGAAGAAATAAATAAAACTTTGCAGATTACATGTTAACTTGCCTATGTAGAAAATTCAAAAAATTTCCTGAGGCCGGGTGCGGTGGCTCATGCCTGTAATCCCAGCACTTTGGGAGGCCGAGGCGGGCGGATCACGAGGTCAGGATATCCAGACCATCCTGACTAACACGGTGAAACCCCGTCTCTACTAAAAATACAAAAACAAAATTAGCTGGGCGTGGTGGCGGGCACCTGTAATCCCAGCTACTCGGGAGGCTGAGGCAGGAGAATGGCGTGAATCTGGGAGGCGGAGCTTGCAGTGAGCCGAGATCGCGCCACTGCACTCCGCCACTGCACTCCAGCCTGGGCGATAGAGTGCTCCGTCTCAAAAAAAAAAAAAAAAAAAAAAAAAAAAAAAAATATCCTGAAATGAATAAATAATTATAACGAGGTTGCAAGACATAAGGTTAATATACAGAAGTCAATTGCTTTATTATTTGCCAGCAATGAACAACTGGAATTTGAAATTGAAAACGCAATACCATTTACATTAGCACCAAAAAAAGAAATACTTAGGTATAAAACTAACAAAATATGTATAAGACTAGCAAAATATGTATAAGAGCTATATGAGAAAAACTATAAAATTCTGATGAAAGAAATCAATTAAGATATAAATAAATGGATAGATATTTGATGTTCATGGATAGAAAAACTCATTATTGTTAAGATATCAGTTCTTCCCAACCTGATATATATTGTGTTGTGATTCAACACAATCCCAATCAAAATTCCAGCAAGTTATTTTAAACTGATTCTAAAATTTATATGAAAAGGCAAATGACCTAGAACAGCTAATATAATATAAAAGAAGAACAGGCTAGGTGTGGTAGCCTGTGATCCCAACATTTTGGGAAGTTGAGGCAGAAGGACCGTTTGAGGCCAGGAGTTCAAGATCAGCCTGAGCAACATAGCAAGAACCCATCTCTACAAAACTGGTTTTAAAAAATTAGTTGGGTGTGGTGGTGTGTGCCTATAGTCCTAGCTACTTGAGAGGCTGAGGTGGGAAGATTGCCTGATAGCCCGGGTGACAGAGCAAAACGCTATCGCAAACAAACAAACAAACAAAAAAAAACAAAAACCAACAACAACAAAGCCAGAAGGCTAACACTACTTAACTTCAAGGCTTACTATAAAGCTACAATAATCAAGATAGTATGATACTAGTAGAAAAATAGACAAATAAATCAATGGAACAGAGCCTAAAAATATATCCATAAAAATTTAGTCAAGTGATCTTGTCAAAAGAGTAAAGGCAATTCAATGGAGCAAGGATAGTCTATTTAAAAAATGGTGCTGGAATAACTGAATGTGTATATGCAAAACAAAACAACATAAAACAAGCATAGACACAGATCTTACACCTTTCACAAATATTAACTCACAGTAGATCACAGAACTAAATGTAAAACACGTAACTATAACACTTTTAGAAGATAATATAGAAGAAAATCCAAATGACCTTGGGCTTGGTGATGACTTTTTAGATACAACACCGAAAGCATAATCCATGAAAGAAAAAAAACGATCTGTTGAACTTTATTAAATTAAAAACTTATGTTCTTTGAAAGATATTGTTAAGAAAATGAAAAAGACAAGCTGTAGACTGGAAGAAAATATTTGCAAAATACATATCTGATAAAGGATTTGTAATCCAAAATTTACGAAGAACTTTTAGAACTTGACAATAAGAAAATGAACAATCTCATTTTAAAATCTCAGCAAAAGATCTGAACAGATACTTCATCAAAGATTATATACAGATGGCAATTAAGCATATGAAAAAGGCTCAACATCATATATTATAAGGAAATTGCAAAATAAACAATGAAATACCACTATGCACCTATTAGAATGTCCAATATCGAAAACACTGACAATACCAAATGCTGGCCAAGATATGGAACAACAGGAACTCTCATTTATTGATGTTGGGAATGCAAAATGACACAGCCATTTTGAAAGACAGTTTGACAGTTCCTTAAAAAACTAAACATTGACTTACCATATTGAGAAGTGACAGCGTGCCGGCAGTCCTCACAGCCCTCGCTTGCTCTCGGCGCCTCCTCTGCCTGGGCTCCCACTTTGGCGGCACTTGAGGAGTCCTTCGGCCCACCACTGCACTGTAGGAGGCCCCTTTCTGGGCTGGCCAAGGCCGGAGCCCGCTCCCTCAGCTTGCAGGGAGGTGTGGAGGGAGAGGCGCGAGCGGGAACCGGGGCTGCGCGCGGCGCTTGCGGGCCAGCTGGAGTTCCGGGTGGGCGTCGGCTTGGCGGGCCCTGGCGCTCGGAGCAGCGGGCCGGCCCTGCCGGCCCCGGGCAATGAGGGGCTTAGCACCTGGGCCAGCGGCTGCGGAGGGTGTACTGGGTCCCCCAGCAGTGCCAGCCCACCGGCGCTGCGCTGGATTTCTCGCCGGGGCCTTAGCTGCCTTCTCGTGGGGCAGGGCTCGGGACCTGCAGCCCGCCATGCGGGAGCCTCCCACCCGCTCCGTGGGCTCCTGGGCGGCCCGCGCCTCCTCGACGAGCGCCACCCCTGCTCCACGGCGCCCAGTCCCATTGACCACCCAAGGGCTGAGGAGTGCGGGCGCACCGCGCAGGACTGGCAGGCAGCTCCATCTGCAGCCCCGGTGTGGGATCCACTGGGGGAAGCCAGCTGGGCTCCTGAGTCTGGTGGGGACGTGGAGAACCTTTATGTCTAGCTCAGGGATTGTAAATACACCAATCGGCACTCTGTCTCTAGCTCAAGGTTTGTAAACACACCAATCAGCACCCTGTGTCTAGCTCAGGGTTTGTGAATGCACCAGTCCACACTCTGTATCTAGCTACTCTGGTGGGGACTTGGAAAACCTTTGTGTGGACACTCTGTATCTAGCTACTCTGGTGGGGATGTGGAGAACCTTTGTGTCTAGCTCAGGGATTGTAAACGCACCAATCAGCACCCTGTCAAAACAGACCACTCCCTCTCTGTAAAATGGACCAATCGGCAGGATGTGGGTGGGGCCAGATAAGAGAATAAAAGCCAGCTGCCAGAGCCAGCAGTAGCAACCAGCTCAGGTCCCTTCCCACGCTGTGGAAAGTTTGTTCTTTGGCTTTTTGCAATAACTCTTGCTACTAATCACTCTTTGGGTCCACACTGCTTTTATGAGCTGTAACACTCACTGCGAAGTTCTGCAGCTTCACTCCTGAAGCCAGCGAGACCATGAGCCCACTGGGAAGAACGAACAACTCCAGATGCGCCGCCTTAAGAGCTGTAACACTCACCGCGAAGGTCTGCAGCTTCACTCCTGAGCCAGCGAGACCACGAACCCAGCAGAAGGAAGAAACTGAACACATCCGAACATCAGAAGGAACAAACTCCTGTCGCGCCAACTTAAGAGCTGTAACACCGCCAGGGTCCGCGGCTTCATTCTTGAAGTCAGTGAGACCAAGAACCCACCAATTCCGTACACAATATGATCCAGCAAGCAACACCTAGGTGTTTTTCCAAAGGAAGTTAAAACATATGTCCACACAAAAACCTAAACACAAATGCTATAGCAGCTTTATTTTTTTTTTCTTTTTCTTTTCAGATAGGGTTTCAATCTGTCACCCAGAGTGGAGGGCAGTAGCTCAATCATGGCTCAGTGTGGTCTCAACCTCCCCAGGCTCAGAGGAGCCTCCCACCTCAGCCCCCGAGGTAGCTAGCTGAGATTACAGGTGAGCACCACCACACCGGCTAATTTTATTTTTTTGTTGCCTAGGCTGGTCTTGAAGCAGCTTTATTCTTAGCTGCCCCAAACTAGAAACAACCAAAATGTCCTTGAATAGGTGAATGATAAACTGTGTTACAGCTGTACAATGGAATATTATTCAACAATAAAAAGAAATGAGCTATTCAGCCCCAAAAAGACATGGAGGAAGCTTAAATGCTATTGTTAAGTGAACGAAGCCAATCTAAAAAGCCTACATACTTTATGATTCCAACTTCATAACTTTCAAGGAAAGACAAAAATATAGAGACAGTACAAAGATCAGGAAAAGGCAAAACTATAGAGATAGGGATTCTGGGGGAGGGAGGAAGGGCTGAACAGGCAGAGCATAGAGCATTCTTAGCACAGTGAAACTATTCCGTATAATGCTGTAATGGTGGGTCCATGACATTTTGCATTTGTGAAAACCCATAGAATATACAACACAAAGAGTGAATGCTAAGGTAAACTGTGGATTAGTTAATGCAAATGTATCCCAAAAATGTTGATAACTGGCCTGGTGTGGTGGCTCATTCCTGTAATCCCAGCACTTTGGGAGGCTGAGGTGGGTGGGTCACCTGAGGTCAGGAGTTCGAGACCAGCCTGACCAACATGGAGAAACCCCATCTCTACTAAAAAAAATACAAAATTAGCCAGGCATGGTGGTCGTTGAATTATCTAAGGTCGTTAATTCGCTGAGACTTTGGGCTTTCACTCCTGTGTGACCGATTCTAGAGTGAATAGCAAACAAGGCTGTGTTGAGATGTGTTAGGATGTCAGCTAGTTACACTCATCTACAAATGACACTCCTGTACACTGGGAAGCTCTTACAAATTCATGTCTCAGGAAGATTATAAGTTACAGCATGTCATCAATCTCCCATGCCACTTGTGAATGATTAAAACCATGGGTGAGAACAGTCTGCTATGTTAGTACACCAGGTTAAATGTATGTTTGAAGATGAGCTATTGGCAGTAAGAGACGGAGGTTGAATTGTTCATGGGACCAAGAAGACCAGCAGATAGAAAAGGAAGTCGATTTGCCTGACAAAGAGTGTCTTCAAAGTTTTAAAATAGAGTGAGAGATGATTTTTTAGAAGGAAAGCACTCCAGTAAGGTATCTATCGGTTCACTGCAATGAATTAAATGTTTTTCACCTACCTTATCCAATAAATGTCTTGGGCATTGATCTGTATTTTGGGACTCTGCTCCAGGAAATTGAAAGAGACAGAAAAGCAAGGGACATTTGCAGTTGAATAAAAGGAATCAAGTACACAAATAACTAGACTTGAAGATAAAAGTCACAAAAGCGTATTCTCTACAAAGGGGCAGAACCAGGCATCCATTGAAGGAAAAAGAAAAAAGCCTTCAAGGAAGTAGGGCATTTTGAAAGAGCCTTGAAGGGTTGGTAGGATTTTTATAGAAGGAGACCAGACAAGATGACAGTCCAGGTCAATAGGACATTGTTAGAAATGATCCAGATCAGTGAGGACAAATATTAAGTGATGCAGTACACACAGGGGGTAATGGAAAGTGTGGCTGATAGGTGAGATTTGGACATTATGTAGAGAGTTTTGAATGCAGGCTAAAGCATTTGCACTTAATTTGGTAGGCATTTAGCAGGCATCAAGCACTAGATGGGACTCAAACTTTCCTTCTCTTCTCTGTCCTTGGGCCTGATGGTGATGGAAAATGCCCATTCTTCCCATATGGATCTTTGTTATCTTGTCTTCTACTCTTGCCACCCTTCTCATCCCCTTGCTTCCACTTTCTCACTCTATGCCTGACAAATTTCAGATCTCTTTCTAGCCTTCTCCTCTCTTCTAGGCAAGGAATAATGGCTGTGGCCTAATCTAATTTCATTCTTCTTTGCCCTGTTTTTAAGGATTTTCTGGGATGTTCCTAATATCCCAACCTAAGCCACCAAATAAACCACTCTCTGATCTCTGACTTAAAAAAATATATATATTCCCTAACAAGTTAACAGTACCATCAAGAGGTGAAAAAGCATTTGCTATGTGGTTGGGATGACAGATTGTGCTGGTAGGCCCATGATGGAGGGCTTCCTGTCATTAGCTAGAGGGTAATAGTTGACGCAAACCTAGGAATGAAACACAGCCAGCAAGCCTCAGGCGCAGCCCTCTTCCAAAAGCAAACAACCTCTTAGAAGGTGTGCCATAATCCCTATTTTATGCATTTTATATGCATTTATTGAGTGTGTAATCTGTACCAATTACTGTGTAAGTTTAGGGGATGGAGTTATAAAAGACAATGTGTCTATGTAGCTCACAGCCTAGACGGGAAAAAATGAAAATATCGCAATAGCGTGGTAGGTAGTATGATGATGTCTAGAGCTATGCTTCTTAAATTTAATGTGTACGCAGAATCACCTGTGCATCTTGCTAAAAGCGCATTCTCCTTCAGTAGGCCTGTCTGCATGTCTAACCTGAGGCACTCAGGTAATGCTTAATCTGCAAGTGCTGGACCACATTCAAAGAAGCAAGGATCTAGAGAAGTTCCCAAAGAACAAGGGAACTTCAAGATCATATGTGATCATAGCAACAGATGAGTTTTCTTTTTTAATGTGAATTCTCCAAACTAAAAAGAATTATCTGGGAGGGGGATACGTAATATGAACCTACCCAAATATAAGAGGACAAAAGACAATATAGGATAAGGTAAGTCTCCCTCCTACTCTTTGCTCCTAGCCAGGCAGTTCCCCTTCCCAGAAACAGCCACCATAACCAATCTCTTTTCTACCCTTCCAGAGTTAATTTTTTTTAATATACAAGCATATACAAATATCCTTTTTTAAAAAACCACTAGACCCAGATTTACTAATACGTACCTTGTCAAGTTAAAAAATATATTTACTGGCCAGGCCTGAGGGCTCACACCTGTAATCCCAGCACTTTGGGAGGCCAAAGCCAGTGGATCGCTTGAGGCCAGGAGTTTGAGATCAGCCTGGGCAACATAGTGAAACCCCATCTCTACCAAAAATACAAAAATTAGCCAATCTCATAACCCAGACCAGCCTGGGCAACATAGAGAGACCCCCATCTCTACAACAACAACAACAACAACAACAACAAATTAGCTGGACATGGTGGTGTGCCTATAGTTCCAGCTACTCAGAAGCCTGAGGCAGGAGGATCTCTTGAGCTCAGGAGTTTGAGGCTACACTGAGCTATGATCACACCACTGCACTTCAGCCTGGGTGACAAAGCGAGATCCTGTCTCTAAAAAGAAAAAAGGTAAATAAATAATGAGGGCTAGAGTCAACTGAACATTTCAAAAGCTGAAGGAAGAAAAAAAAAAATCTACTGCCAACCCAGAATTTTATATCCAGCAAAAATATCCTTCAAAAATGGAGGTGAATTCTGAAGACATTCAGATTTGTTTTTAATGAGAAAAGTTGTTAACAACAGACCTGCACTATGAGAAAGGTATTTCTTCAGACTATAAAAAACAAACAAACAAAAAACACATGCTGGAAGAGCACCAGAAATAGTAAATATATGAATATGTATAACAGACTTACATCATTTCAGGTCCTCCAAAAGGCAGATGCCAAGATGGACCTAGATGTGCATGAGATTTACTGAGGGAAAGCCTGTGAAGGATAAAAGGAAGTGGAAGGAGGAATAGGGAGAACCTCAGATGGCAATGTAAGTCTGACATCTGAAAAGTGAAAGGGAAGGAAGGAAGATTGTGTAGAAGTCTTACTGCAGTGCAGCTCTGAGAAAATCTTTTCCAGCCAATCAGAATCTCTGGAGTAAAGAATACCCATGAGAGGAGTTCCACATCAGTGAAGAATGGCCTGGCTCTAGTACCTCTGCTGTGCTCAATCACTGGCTGGGGCATAGTATGGTTTTGGCATGAATGCCCCAGAAGACCTGAAAGTACAGCAACTGGAAGGTATCCACCAGCTGCTCTCCTCACAGTAGGGTTCTTGAAGGGAGGTCTGAGCAACACTCTCATGGCTGCCACTAGACTAGGATTAATTTTTTTCTTATCCTATTTTTTAAAAGTCATATGACTCTGTAAAGTAGAAGTTAAATCACTGTATTGTGGGGTTTATCATGTAAGTAGATAAAATATATAGAATAATAAAATGAAGGATGGGGAGGTAAATGGAACTATAGTGTTGAGGAATTATATGTTACATTAAGTAGTACAATATTAACTCTAAGTAGGTTGTGATAAGTTAAAGATGCATATTTGTAGCCCAAAAACAACCACTATAAAAAGTAATACAAAGAAGCATAGCTAAAAAGTCAATGTGGGAGTTAAACTGGAAATGTATTATTTCCTTAGCCCAGAAAGACAGGAAAGGAAGAACAAAAGGACAAAAACAGATTAGGCAAGTGAAAAGCAAATAGCAATTGTTAGACCTATATTTGATCATATCCATAAATGCATTCAGCATTAATAGACTAAATACTCCAACTAAAAGACACAGTCAGACTGGATAAAAAATGAAGACCCACCCCTATAGTGTCTACAAGAGACAGACCTTACATGTAAAGACTCAGATTGAAAGTAACAAGCTAGATAAAGCTTTTTCTTGCAAATAGTCATGTCACTCGTGTACATATTTATGGATAAAGTCCCAGCAATGAAATGACTGAATCCAGAGAATGTGCACTTGTAATTTTGATCATGTCACCATAAATAGCGTATCAAATTATCTTTCCACTCAGTGTATGGATAGCATACCTGTCTCCACATACTCTTACCAACAACATTTTCAGATTTTTAAATCTTTGCTAATCTGAGCGATGAAAAAAAAAATCATAGCCAGGCGCAGTGGCTCATGCCTGTAATCCCAGCACTTTGGGAGGCCCAGGCGGGCTGATCACAAGGTTGGGAATTTGAGACCAGCCTGGCCCATATGGTGAAACCCCGTCTCTACTAAAAATACAAAAATTAGCTGGGTGTGGTGGCGGCCACCTGTAGTCCCAGCTACTCAGGAGGCTGAGGCAGGAGAATCGCTTGAACCTGGGAGGTGGAGGTTGCAGTGAGCCGAGATTGTGCCACTGCACTCCAGCCTGGGCAACAAAGCGAGACTCCATCTCAAAAAAAAAAAAAAAAATACCATTGCAGTTTTAATTAGCACCTCTCTTATCATTAATAAATTTTACAATAATGTTTACTTTTTTCATTTGGTTAAAAGCCATATGTAACTCTTTATGCATACAGTTTATATTCTTTGCCCATTTTCATATATGTGTTTGTTTTCTTATTGTTGTGTAGGGACTCTTTATGTGAGACATATTTCAGATTTTCCTTATTTATCATTTGTATTTAGATTTTGTTAATCATGTTTTTTGACACGGAGAATTCAAAAATTTTCACGATAGTATTTAATTGTCTTTCTAAAATGGCTTCTGTGTTTTATGTCATGTATACAAAGACCTTCCCTAGTCCATACTATTTTTTAATCCTCTGATCTTTTGGTTGCAGTGCTGTGTGGATTCAGGCAGGAATCCAACTTCTTTTTCTCCCCCTCAGACCTGATAGGTCACCAAAAGTTCTTCTTCTAGAATGCTTGTGTAATGGCCACAGATGATGAGGTGCTGTAAAGAGCCCTGGCTGAGCCATAAGGGGAAATGGAAGCTTCCTTAAAAGGCCATATCTGATCTGAGTCTTGAAGAATATGTAGGAGTTAGCCAGACAAATGAGGACTGGAGAAACGAGTCATTCGATCCAGCTAAAGACTGGAATTTGAGGGAGGAACAGCAAGAGAAAAGCTTCAAGAGCTGAGCATGGTGGCCTTGGATGCCACGCTTAGAAACTTGAACTTTATTTTTTAAATGAAGGGATACCATTGAAGAATTTTTTAAAGGGAGAGAAGGTAACATGCTCGGATTTGCATCTTAGAAAGATGATTCTGGAGCTGAGCACAGTGGCATGTGCTTTGTAAGACCTACTACTCAAAGGCTGAGGTGGGAGGATCACTAGAACCCAAATGTTCAAGACCAGCCTGAGCAACATACACACCATTTAAAAAAAAAAATGTGTGGCTGGGCACTGTGGCTCGCACCTGTAATCCCAGCACTTTGGGAGCCCAAGGTGGGGGGATTACCTGAGGTCAGGAGTTCAAGACCAGCCTGACCAACATGGTGAAACCCCGTCTCTACTAAAAATACAAAAACTAGCCAGGCATGGTGGTGTGTGCCTGTAATCCCAGCTACTCGGGAGGCTGAGGCAGGAGAATCGCTTGAACCCAGGAGGAGGAGGTTGCAGTGAGCCGAGATCGCGCCATTGCACTCCAGCCTAGGTGACAAGAGCAAAACTCCGTCTCAAAAAAATAAAAATAATGTGTAAAAGAAAAAAAAAAGAAAGATTATTCTGGTAGCAATGTGGAAAATGTACTGGAATGGGGCAAACCTAAAGGCCTACAGAGCCCTTTTAAGTGAAAGTAGCTCCTTGTGAAGGTAGCCTGCCCTGTATCTCTTGGCTGATAAGTGGTTGAACTGGGCCTGAAACCAAGTAACTGACTTTGAATTATTTCTCCATAGTTTAGACAAAACAACAGACAATTTTAAGACAAGGGTAAAACCTGTCAATGAGTGGTTTAAAGTGTGCCTATTTTAAAGCTCAAATCTAGTGTACTTGAAATCCAGTAAACTCATCTGAAACCTGAGCGTACAGCAATTTCTAAGTCAGTTCAACTATAGGATCTCCTAGTTGGAAGGAAGCCCAGAGGTCCTTCTCCCACCCAGGACAGGAATCCCTTCTAAAACACACCCAACAGATGGCTTAAGGCCCCCTGTGTGAACACTCTTCACCTTCAAAGGGGAGCTCACAGGCCTCCCGTTCCTCTGCTGGTCAGATCTAAACTTAGAAAGTTCTTTCTCATGTTGAGCCAAATTCCTTCTCTCTGTAACTTTCACCCATCAGTCAGCAATGTCTTCTGAGTCCTCATTCCTCAAGGGAAAACCATTAGGTTTAGAGACAGTAGGCAGTAGGAAATGCTATGGTGGGGCTATGATAAAAGTTTACAATGTTTAAAACATGCCAATGGATGCCCAACAATGTGAATGTAGTTAATGCCATTGAACACTTAAAAATGTTTACAATGGTAAAGTTTATGCTATGCATATTTTGCCGCAATTAAAAATTTTTAAAAATACTTTTCAAATATAGTAGAATGATATGCTGACCAATTAAAATAACATGGCAAGATGCTTTGAATGTTAAATGTCTGTGGCTCTTCAGAATGACACTGGGTTTTTATGTCGCTTCCTCTAATTCATTCTTGTTTTTCACCTCATAACATTTTCATAGTTTACTCCCATCCCTTCTGTCTTTCAGCCAGGGTCTCAGTCTACCTTTGAGAGCCAGGTTGTTTTTCTCTTTTTGGCTGCCTCTAAATCAATCTTTATTTTCCTTCCTTCCCTTCCCTTCCCCTTCCTTCCCTTTCCTTTTCTTCCTTCCTTCCTTCCTTTTTTTTTTTTTTTTTAATTTGACAGAGTCTCGCTCTGTTGCCCAGGCTGGAGTGCAGTGGCACGATCTCAGCTTGCTGCAACCTCCACCTCCCAAGTTCAAGCAATTCTTCTGTCTCAGCCTCCCGAGTAGCTGGGACTGCAGGCACACACCACCACACCCGGCTAATTTTTGTACTTTTAGTAGAGACGGGGTTTCACCATATTGGCCAGGCTGGTCTTAAACTCCTGACCATGTGATTTGCCTGCCTTGGCCTCCCAAAGTGCTGGGATTACAGGAGTGAGCCACCACGCCTGGCTCCTTCCTTTCTTCCCGTTTTTTTTTTTTTTTTTTTTTTTGAGACAGGGTCTCACTCTGTCACCCAGGCTGGAGTGTAGTGATGCAATCTCAGCTCACTGGAGCCTCAACCTCCTGGGCTCAATTGATCCTCCCACCTCAGCCTCCTAAGTGCCTACACTATGGGCATGACCCACCACCTCCGGCTAATTTTTTTATTTTATGTAGAGACGGGGTTTCATCATGTTTCCAGGCTGGTCTCAAACTCCTGAGTTCAAGCAATCCACCTGCCTCAGCCTCCCAAAGTGCTGGGATTACAGGTGTGTGCCACCACAGCGCCTGGCCTCCCTCTAAATCTTGATGGTTTGTTGGATCATCTGAACTTGCTTTTTTAAAAAAAATCTAAATTGGGATCATTAGCTCAGTTATTTCAGGGCAAAAATTATGGCACTTTGAACCCAATAGTCCCATGTTGCCAGTTCCACAGTTCTAGAGAAGCAAAGATTTTTTTTTTAAATTTCCATTCTTAAGATCTTAATCTTTGTTGGAAGAAGTCCAAAATCTTCAGATCTTAATCTTTGTTGGAAGAAGTCCATTTTTAAAACAGGAATCTGAGAGAACACTCATAACCCAAAGCAATCAATGATAATAGTGACATTTTTAACTGGCTCGTCTTGTTAATCCATTAACCAATTACCTGGTTGTAAGACTAGCTTCATTTATGTGACTTTAAAATTTTTGGTCTACATAAGACATTTTACCGTAAAATTCTTGCAGTGAGTTCACCTGAGTTTTTCTGTGGCGACAAAATCAGTCATGACCTCTGCTCATCAAACAGGGTAATCCTTGCTGTGCTGCTGCTCCTCCCAGCAGTTGGGACCTCAAGTCTGTGGGATTGCTTTGTGCCCCAGCCATCCTCAGCCTCATTAGTTCTGTGGCAGCTACTGTAGCCACAGCCTCAGGGATGTTTGTTTGTCATTTACAGAGATAGATAATTTGAGTGAGACAGGATTAACTAGCAGACATCTAACATAACAATTGACCCTCATTTGGCAGAGTATGTCAAAAATTTAAAACTTTAAATTGCATGCAAAATGTAACAACATCTTCAATGTTAAATAAAGTTTTCTATGAAAAATACCAATTTTGTATTTGAATAGTTCTACTGCTTGTTCCTTCCTCAGCTTTCTTTCCCTTTTAAAAACTAACATATGTACCTAAGGGAGATGAAGGTGATTTTCTGTAATTTCTATTTCTCAAATTATATAATATTTTTGGTAAACCTTGATTCTTTCTGAAACTGTATTTTTAGAATATACCATAAAATAGATCCTTGTATATCTTCCCTATAAGGTCTTGTTAAGTAGTATGTTTTTTTGAAAATTGTTTAAAAATGACTTTCAACTTCTAGTAATGGCAGAACAGCTTGGTTGGACTAACCCTCCTATAAAAAACAGTTATAAAAACTGGAAAAAGTGTTTAGAAACAAAGAACAATTTCAATATACTGGAGATTTATCAAAAACAAAGTGGTGAGAAGTTCACCTTTAAAGGCAAAATATATGTTGTGAGATTTGCAAGTCTGCAACTTTTTTACCTGTGTGCACTCACTAATCCATTGTCTTGAGTTGTCATGGAATCAGATTGGCTAGAATTAAGGGGGAAATCCTAGAAGGGAATTACTGCAGGTACTGTGAGACCCAAAATCTATCTTTAAAAAATCCACCCAACTTCTTGACTGGTCCAGAAATAGAAAAAGAGAAAGAGCGAAACAAAAAAGTAGCAGCTGGAAGCTGACCTGAGCAGAGAATTCAACTGCTGCTAACTGCAGGGAGACAAAGTTTGGAATTTGAGTCCAGCCAAGTTGAGAAGATTACTCTTCAAAGGAACATAATGGAACCCAGAGTTTCTACATTGTAGTATCCATTATAACCAGCATTCAACTAAAAATCACAGAATGTGCAAGGTAACCAGAAAAATGTGACACATACTCAGGGGAAAAAAAGGAACCAGAGATGACCTAGATGTTGCTGTAATAAATAGACAAGACTTTAAGGCAGTCATTATAAATATGTTCAAGAATTTAGGAAAAATTTGATCATAGCAAATAAACCTGGTGGGGGAATCACAGAGGAGAAATAGATACTATTTAAATAGAAGCAAATGGAAATTTTATAGCTGAGAAGTACAATAAGTGAAATGGAAAATTCATTAGATGCTCTTAACAACATCTTGGAGGCAGCTGGAGAAAGAGTGAATGTGAAGATTGTGAAGATAGATCAATAGAGATTCTTCAATCCGCAGGATATAGACAAAAGTCCCAAATATTTGGAAATTAATCAACGTTTATTTTTTAAATCCATGATTTATTTCACAAGGGAAAGTAGAAAATATTTTGAATGGAATTATCATTAAAATACAAGATATCAGAGCTGTATGATGCAGGTAAAGGAGTGCTCAGAGGAAATGTTATACTTTTAAGTGTCTATATTAGAAATGAAGAAAAAAAACCATTTATTCATCAATTGATGAATGAGTACATAAAATGTGCTATGTCCATACAATGGAATATTAATCAGCAATAAAAAGGAATGAAGTACCAACACATACTGTAACATGGATGAACCTTGAAAACATTAGGCTAAATAAAATAAGTCGGTCACAAAAGACCACATATTATGTGATTCCATTTATAGGAAATGTCCAGAATAAATGAATCTATGGAGACAAGAATTAGATTAGTGGTTGTTCAGAGCTGAGGGACGGGTGGAGTGATTGATAAAGGGTATACGGTTTCTTTTTGGGGCGATGAAAATGCTCTAAAAAGTATTTGATATTGGTTGCACAACCCCATGAATGTACTTAAAATTGTTTAATTGTATACTTTAAATGGGTGAATTGTATGGTATATGAATTATATCTCAATAATGCTGTTACTCCCCAAAATTATCTGAATTTTTGACATAAGAAACTAGAAAGAAAGTGAGCAAATTAAACCCAAAATAAGTAAAAATTAGGAAATAATAAAGATAAGAGCACAAGTCAATCAACAAAAAAACAGATGAAAAATAAGAGAATATAAATCAAAAGTTAATTCTTTGAAATGGTTAATAAAAGTAGTAAACACCTAGCAAGACTGATAAAGAAAAAAGAGAAAATATAAATTACCAATAACAGAAATTAAATAGAAGATTTCAGAAAAAATCCTAAAAACATTGTGGTGATTGCATGACTGTATAGATGTTGCAAAACTCATTAAATTGCACATCTAATGTGAGTGAATTTGGTTGTATAGAAGTTATACCTCAATAAAACTATAAAAGAATAAATCAGTGTAATTCATTTGATTAATAGAATAAAGAAGAAAAACTATATGATTATATCAGTTGCTGCCAGGTCTCTAGGCTTCAAGATAGAGGACTCTCTACTGGGTTAAATCAGTTTATTTCAGACTGATCTAAGTCTCTGTCTCAATCACTTGTTGATAAGAGCGCCCCTGTGTTTCTCCACAACATGAGATCGTACCTCTTTCAAGGGCCAACTTACCAAATCCCATCAAGTTTCCCCATACTCTGTAATGACCACTTCAGCCCTGCCCTTACCCAATTTTCTTAGTCATTTTAAAAGGCCGAGGTGAACCTCAAGATTTTCTTGTGTGGGCAATTTCTGTCTTAGCAGGGTTCTAAGAACTAGGCAATGACTAATAGCTACTGCAGTTTGTTGACCTTGTTCCAGCAAAATCTATACTATAAGCACAGGTCATTCCATTCAGGGGATTATTTTTCTCCTGCAGTGGTTATGTGTTATGACAAAACGAAGTTCAATACCTAATTGTGCGACTGGGCAAATATCCAAGAAGCATCAAATAGGCATAGACTAGGACCTGTGGGAACCTTCCCTCAGGTCCATGACAAAGAACAAGAAAAACTTGAGATTGTCTTTAAAAATGCAACCTGAAGACACAGTTACTTCTTACTTAGCAAGGGAAAGAAAGGTGAAAATAAATTACCTTTGCTTCTGTGTTATTCACACTGCTGGAAACCATAAAAAGGAGGCTTCATTATAATTCTTGAAGGTTCTATTAATATTAGTGGATAATATAGTTTTGTGGCTTTCTAGTGCTACAAGCTTATTCTGAGCAATACTGCCCTCAACCAATTTCTGGCGCTGGCAATGTTAGGGCTTCTGGGCAGAATCTTGAGGCAAGATAGAAAAATTTTTCCATGTTTCTCCATGTGGGTTAAAGACCCAGTGAGAATAAATAGCAAAGAAGTAGAGTACAGAGTTTAAGAAAATAGATTTGATATCAGGCAAACCTAGGTTTCAGTTTCAGTTTTGCCGATAATTAAACATGTGGCTTTGGAAAAGCTGTTTAACCCTTCCAAGACTTAGTTTCTTCATCTCTAGGATGGGCATAATACTACCACCTACTTTACAGGGTAGTCAGAATTACATAAAATAATTATTGTAAAGGGCATTTGACAGTGTCTGACAAAGAGTGAAAGAACTTATACTACTATTTATTTCTTCATATTTACATATATTTTATGCTAGGGGAATTGGCACTCAGGTATGTTGCCAGTGAGAATATAAATTGGTACAGTTTCTTTGGAGGTTAATTTGATAGTTTATGTTAAATTTTTAAAATCCCATAGGCTTTGATATGATTCCGCTGTATCCCCACCCAAACCTTACCTTGAATTGTGGTTCCCATAATCCCCACGTGTCATGGGAGGGACCTGGTGGGAGGCAATTGAATCATGGGGCTGGTTACCTTCATGCTATTCTCATGATAGTGAGTGAGTTCTCACAAAATCTGGTAGTTTTATAAGATGCTTTTCCCCCCACTTCGCTCATACTTCTCCTTGCTGACACCATGTGCAGGACACATTTGCTTCCCCTTCCGCCGTGATTGTAAGTTTCCTGAGGCTTCCCTAGCCATGCTAAACTGTGACTCAATTAAACCTCTTTCCTTTATAAATTACCCAGTCTTGGGCACTTCTTTATAGGCAGTGTGAGAATGGACTAATACAGTAAATTGGTAGCACAGTGAGTGGGGTGCTGCTGTAAAGTCACCCAAAAATGTGGAAGCAACTTTGGAACTGGGTAACACACAGAGGTGGAGATAGTTTAGAGGGCTCAGAAGACAGGAAAATGTGGGAAAGTTTGGAAATTTCTTTTGGAACTTCCTGGAGACTTGTTGAATGGCTTTGACCAAAATGCCAAAAGTGTTATGGACTATGAAGTCCAGGCTGAGGTAGTCTCAGACTGAGATGAGGAACTTACTGGGAACTGGAATAAAGTTGATTCTTCCTATGCTTTAGCAAAGAGACTGATGGCATTTTGCTCCTGACCTAGAGATCTGTGGAACTTCAAGCTTGAGAGAGATAATTTAGGGTATCTGGTGGAAGAAATTTCTAAGCGGCAAAGTGTTCAAGAGGAAGCAGAGCATAAAAGTTTGGAAAATTTGCAGCCTGACAATATGATAGAAAAGAAAAACCCATTTTCTGGGGAGAAATTCAAGCTGGCTGCAGAAATTTGCAAAGTAACAAGGAGCTGAATGTTAATCATCAAGACAATGGGGAAAATTCTCCAGGGCATGTCAGAGACCTTCACAGCAGCCCCTCCCATCACAGGCCCAGAGGCCTAGGAGGGAAAAATGGTTTTGTGGGCCAGGCCCAGTGTCCCCCTCCTCTATGCAGCCTCAGTACCTGATGCCCTGAGTCCCAGTTGCTTCAGCTCCAGCCATGTCTAAAAGAGGCCAAGATACAACTCAGGCCATTGCTTCAGAGAGTACGAGTCCCAAGCCTTGGTGGCTTACACATGGTATTTGGCCTGTGGGTGCACAGAAGTCAAGAACTGATGTTTCAGAAGCTCTGCCTAGATTTCAGAAGATGCACGGAAATGCCTGGATGTCCAGGCAGAAGTCTGTTGCAGAGGCAGAGCTCTCATGGAGAACCTCTGCTAGGGTGGTGAAGAAGAGAAATGTGGGGTTGGAGTCCCCACACAAAGTCCCCACTGGGGCACTGCCTAGTGGAGCTATGAGAAGAGGATCACCATCCTCCAGACCCCAGAATGGTAGATCCACCAACAGCTTGCACTGTATGCCTGGAAAAGCCATAGACACTCAAGACCAACCATGAAAGCAGCCAGGAGGTGGGCTGTACCCTGCAAAGCCACAGGGGCAGAGTTGCCCCAGGCTGTGGAGCCCATCTCGAGCATCAGCATGACCTGGATGTGAGACATGGAGCCAAAGGAGATCACTTTGGAACTTTAAGGTTTAATGACTGCCCTATTGGATTTTGGACTTGCATGAGGCCTGTAGCCCCTTTGTTTTGGCCAATCTCTGCCATTTGGAATGGGTATATTTACCCAATGCCTTTCCCCCACTTATATCTAGGAAGTAACTAATTTGCTTTTGATTTTACAGGCTGATAGGTGGAAGGGACTTGCCCTGTTTCAGAGGAAACTTCGGACTTGGACTTTTGAGTTAATACTGGAATGAGTTAATACTTTGGGGGCCTGTTGGAAGAGCATGATTGTGTTTTGAAATGTGAGGACATGAGGCTTGGGAGGGGCTGGGGGAGGGACTGATATGGTCTGGCTGTGTGCCCACCCAAATCTCATCTTAAATTGTAGATCCCATAATCCCCACATATCTTGGGAGGAACCTTGTGGGAGGTAATTGAAACATGGGGATGGTTACCCTCATGCTGTTCTCATGACAGTGAGTGAGTTCTCATGAGATCTGATGGTTTTACAAGGGGATTTCCCTGGCTTCACTCATACTTCTCCTTGCTGCCACCATGTGAAGTAGAAAATGTTTGCCTTCCCTTCCACCATGATTGTAATTTTCCTGAGGCCTCCCCAGCCTTGCTGAACTATGTCAATTAAACCTCTTTCCTTTATAAATAACCCCGTCTCAGACAGTTCTTCATAGCAGCATGAGAATGGACTAATATAGCCTTCAACCCTGCAATTCCACTTCTAGTTGTCCATATCAAAGAAGTGTTCATATGTGTATATTTAACTCTAAAAAACTTGGATTTGGTACACTGATAAGCTTAACAAACATACCTATAGACAACATTTCCCCTGTGTCCCATACCATGCCAGTATGAACTGGAAGAGTAGCTTTATTAAAGAATCATAAGCAGCAGGTTTCTTAAACTTCCAAGAAAGTCAGTCATTATTCCCTGCTATTTAAAAAATGCATATTATATAAGCCTTAGATTGTAGAATAAGGAATCTTAGAAATAATGTAGTTTTACTATCTCCTCTTATGGATCAGAAAACTTTAGGCCCACTGAGGTAAAGCAACTACCTCTGGTTACCCAACTAGAAGATGACAGAGCCCCATATGTCTCCAAACCATACTGTGTCCTTTATACTGTCCAAAATTTCATTCTTCCTTATTTTCAGTGTGGCAGGCATAGCTAGTTGTTTATCCAATATCTATTCTTCATTTTTTCCTTCATAAGAGTAAAAAATAATAGCTTACCCAAATGCTCTTATAGCCAGACCTAGTTCTGGCCAATGAAATGTAAATGGAAGTCTATTGGGTGGGGCCTTTCAGGAAAGCTATATTTTCCTGATTTAAAAAGAGAAGGATCTTACTGGCATGCAATTTCTATGCCCTTCTCCATGTTTTCTCTTGAAATGAAGACATGATATGTGGCATGTCAGCAGCCATATTGTCCCTATGATGACAAAGCCACACACTAAAAGCTAGTAAGGCAGAAATACAGGAGTCTAGGGCACTGACGACATTGCACGGCCCCTGGATCAGCCTTGGACTGGCTACCTCTTGTCACTTTTTGTTATGCTGAAAACATAAGCCCCTTTTTGGTTAAGCCACTGTAATTCTATTTTCACTTTCCTTTTGTTTCCCAAGGAGGACGGAGGCTGGCGTATCAACTCTGCTATATCTAAATTCATGTTGCCTTATTCATTCCTGTTTCAGAGGAAGAAGAAATCATCCTTCCCCCACCCCAATTTAACAATTTCCATCACTTTCTGCTTCTTTCCATTTCCTTCTTTACTTAACTCACTGTATCTTTTCATACCCTACTCCTAGCTCTAAAAACATCCTTTAACTTTGTCTTCAGTTTCCCCTCCCTTACGAAATACCATTCCTTTGTTTCACTTCACATCTAAAATTCTTGGGAGAAGAGACTCCAGAAGCCTGCCGTTTCTACTGTAAACAAATGAATTATGGGCCGGGCGTGGTGGCTGCTCATGCCTATAATCCCAGCACTTTGGGAGGCTGAGGCAGGTGGGTCACCTGAGGTCAGGAGTTCAAGACCAGCCTGGCCAACATGGTGAGACTCCATCTCTACTAAAAATACAAAAATTGGCTGGGTGTGGTGCTGCATGCCTGTAGTCCCAGCGACTCAGGAGGATGAGGCAGGAGAATCGCTTGAACCCAGGAGGCAAAGGTTGCAGTGAGTCGAGATTCCACCACTGCACTCCAGCCTGGGCAAAAGAGCCAGACTCTGTCTCAAAAAAAAAAAAAAAAAAAAATTATGAATGCCCTAACCTAAGGTCTACTCCACAACTCACTTCATCTGAACTTTTGGAGCCTTTGCCATTGTTGACCCACCTTTCCCCTCTTAAACTCTGACCTCTCTTGACTTCATGACACCATTTTCTCCTACCTTCCCAACCTCTGACCCAGGTTCCTTCTGTGGCTCCTCTTTACCTGCCTTTCCTTAGGTGCTAGGGTCCTCAGGTATCCTCCTAGCCTCTCACCTTCTCATTCTATGCCCCTCTGAAGGAAGCTTCTTTCACTCTCATGGCTCCAATTACCTTGTATTTGCTAATTTTCTCCAAAACTACTTATGTATCTCCTGCTGTTGTTGGCTTCCCCTCCCCCCGAACTTCAGATCAATATTTTTAATCACCTTGTGGATACTCTCCAACTTCTCCTGGAACTTCAAACTCAGCACATCCAAAGCCACAATCTTCCCATCCTTGACTAAACCTGTCACTGCTGTATTTCCTGTCTCAGAAACTGATCATTGTGCTTCCAAGCATCCAAACCACTACAATCAACACACATATATTCCTAAAAATCAGTGTATTGGACAAACTTGATCAATAAAAAGCACAGGATATATGGGAAAAATGGGCATAACACTCAAAAACATCATCAATGGCACTTAAAAGTGGTAGAACCTAATGAAAACAGTAGGATGGTCTTACACATGTTAAATGGTTAATAAAATAATAAAATACATAAATAACACAATAAACATGGCACTGTAAAAAGACCTGAAGTTTGCCTGTGGAAGAGGGTGTCAGAAGAGCTGCAGTTTGTGTATTATTGTGAATTAGTGGAAGGAGGATTACCAGAAATCAGGCTAAAAGTTGTAACATCAGGTGTGGATGGATGTAGCTCCTGACACACACGGTGAACTGAGGTAACTGCTATATGTTTGTTTGAGGTGTGTGCACCGTGTGTGTTCTGTGTATTTTTAAACTGGGTGCAGTTTTCTTCATACACTTAGTGTTTCTTGGAGGACAAATATATGCATAAGTATTCTGAAGTTCAGATTTCACTCAAATTTTTCTCTAATTATCAATAGGACTGGAGCAAATTTAAACTTGCAAAATAAGCTTTACAGTCAAACTGATGGTATCTTGGAAAACTCAACTGGTTCATCCACAACAGGCACTTGGTCACTAATGCCCATGATTTTTGCTCCTATTTATGTGTTTCTTCTTCATTCCTGCCATTGCTGCTCCAGTCTAGATGCTCACTACCTCCTTTCTGTACTATTGCAACAACCACTTCATGCTCTTTCCACTACAGTGCCTTGTCTTACCCACATTGGTCAGGGGCTTAGGAATGCCATACCTGTAATGGTGTCCTGGGCCAGCACCAATGAGTGAGGGCTTCTATTGTTTGACCAAGCTATGATACACGATTCCTGAGCCATTTGCTCACTATAAGATGGGCAATTGTAGCCTCAAAAAGGATTGTTGTGATGATTAAAGAGAGAATCTATGGCAACCATCCACATGGCTTCTAGCACATAGTAGACATTTGATAATAGTTGTTCTTGTTCCCCTTTCCTATTTGTTGCTCAACTAAAAATATGATTTAAAAACATTAAAAATATAAACAGTGACTCTGTATTTCCTGTAGGATTAAGCCAAATCACTTGAGAAAGGCTTCTAAGACCCTCTCAATCTGTATCGAACATGGTTTTCAGCCTCATGCTCTTTATCCCCAGTCCAAGTCACTTAATTTTTAATACCTTCCCAACTGTTGCCTCCCTCCCTCACCCATAAAAAACAAACAAACAAACAAAAACCTTTGGTACACCCTCTGAACTCCCACCACGTAATGTACAAATACCACTCATACAGCATCTCCCAGTCCTGTGTAGCAGACTATTTGTCACCCAGCAAACACCCAGGGCCCCCACCCCATTCTCCTTTACTAATATGCAGCAGCTCTAGCCTGGATTAGATGCCAGTACACACAGAGCAGGACAAATCCAAGACTATTACAGAGAAGAAGAATGGGAACTTTATGTAATGCACATGATACCTGCCCTACCTCTGAACTACTTTATATTTTATACAATAAATATCTTGTTGTTCAGGCCACTTTGACCTAGGTTTTCTGTCACCTGCAGTGGAAAACTGGTATTAGATTTATTTATAAGTCTCACTCCCTGGTAATGTTGAGAAACCCACAGGTCTTCAGTTTTATATCCTCAGCACTAAGAAGTACATGACACATACTAGATGGTCAGCAAATATTTTTTGGAGGGATGGATGGGTGGATGGATGAATGGGTGGGTGGATGAATCTTCTGGCATCCTGCCTATTATACTTTCCAGTGTTTACCTCCTTCTCAAATATCCTGCTAACCATGGAATCTTAGCATTAGATAAGAAATAAAGGGAAGGCAAGGTGTCTAGACAAGAAGTCCAGAAAGCAATAAAATAGAAAAGCAGCCAAGAATTTATACTGGGAGTGCCTTAAGGTATCAAGGGAAAGAACATGAGCCTTTTCCTGGGGACTTTGTTGCAGGGATGTGGAGTGGGGGATGTTTCTATTGGCCACCCAACCCTCCTCCTTTAGCTTCAATTTCCCCTTTCACCAGAGCCTCAACACCAACACTTCAAGCACAGTTGTATATTCCACAGGTGAAGGGAGGAAGTGGGAATCCACTAAACCAACAAAATCTGGAGATATAGCCTTCTGATGAACTAGCCAGATACAGGGAGAGAGCATAATCATGATATGGAACTGCTACGGCTTGAATGTGTCCTCTCCAAAATTAAGGTGTGCCCAGTGTGATGGGATTAAGCAGTGGGGCCATTAAGAGGTGATTGAGGTCATGAGAATTCCTCCCTTGTGAATGGGATTAAGGCCCTCATAAAAGAGACTTCATGCAACATTCAGCTAGCTTGCTCTTCTGTTCTCTGCCATGTGAGAACATGGCATCCCTTCCCTTCAGATGATGCAGCCCTCACCAGACAAGTGAACCTGCTGGCACCTTGATCTTGGATTTCCTGGCCTCCAGAACTGTGAGAAATAAATTCCTCTTGATTATAAATGGATATAAACAGGTATTCTCTTATAGCAGCATAAAATGGACTAAGACTTTTCTATAGAGTAGTTGCTATACATAAGGCATTCTCTCAATTTGCCTGCATCATCTCATTTGGTCCTCACTGCCACTCAGTAAAATAGGAACTATGACTTGCCCCACTTGACAGATGAGAAAATTGGAGCTTCAAGTTTAGATAGTGTACCCATGGCCAGTAATTGGTGAATGTAACTCCAGGGCCTAGCATATAGTGCTCAGAGAAATGGATGCAAAGCTGCCTTCCAAGTGTCTTTCTCAAATATTTTTAGTCTGTTTCCTGCTGCTATAACAGAATACTACAGACTGAGTAATTATAAAGACAAGAAGTGTATTTAGCTCATAGTTCTGGAGGCTGGGAAGTCCAAGGGCATGGTGCCAGCATCTGGTGAGGGTCTTTTTGCTTTGTCATAGTATGAAGGAGGGCATCACATGGTGAAAGGCAAGGAGCAAGAGAGATGGAGAAAACTCGCTTTTATAACAAAGCCACTCCCTCAATAACAAACCCCCTCCCATGATAGTGACATTAATCCATGAAGGCAGATTGATTAAGTTTCCAGTATATGAACTTTTGAGATACACATTCAAATAATAGCAAATATCAGTTGGTTAGAAGTCCATTTTGCTTTGATTTTGAACTAGAATTTATTGAGCAGTGATATGGTTTGGATCTTCATCCCCACCCAAATCTCATTGTAATCCCAGTGTTAGAGGTGGGGTCTGGTGGGAGATGATTGAATCATGGGGGAGGATACTTCATGAATGGTTTAGCACCATCCCCTCTGTGCTGTTCTCATGATAGTGAGTGAGTGAATTATTGTGAGATCTGGTTGTTTAAAAGTGTGTAGCACCTCCCCTCTCTTTCTTTCTCCTGCTCCAGCCATGTCTTACTTGCCTGCTTCTCCTTTGCCTTCCACCACGATTGTAACTTTCCTGAGAACTCCCAGAAGCGGAAGAAGCTATGATTCCTGTATAGCCTGCAGAACCAAGAGCCAATTAAACCTCATTTCTTCATAAATTACCCAGTCTTAGGTATTATTTTAATTGCAATGCAAGAATGGACTAATATAAGCAGCTACTAATGTGTTTGACCTTTTATATACCTTACTTCATATATCCTTTAGACCTAAGTGTTATCCACTGAGAACATGGTGATCCAGAGGGGTTTAGAAACCATACCAGTGTCATCCAACTAGTAAGTGACAGAGTTGCAATAAGAACCCTGGCCCACCTAAATTCAAAATTCTTTCCGGTGTCCCACAGCTGCTTCCATTGTCAACTATGGCCTGAAGAAGACAAGCTGTACATAGGAAGGCACCCATGCATTCTGTGCAATCCAAGTAACAGGGCCCACATTTTATAAGAAAATTGGAGAATAACGACATGTATTCCTAACTCACTGAAGGGCCAACCAACCAGTCACTGAGGAGTCCAAAACCAGGGTCAAATTTTCCCTAGAGACAGTGGTGTGCTCTAAACCGGTTCCCCTCTGGTTTTAAGTGTCTCCTCTACTACTTATCCCCTAAGTCTCAATTTAATGTTGTTTTCCCCAGGAAGCCTCCCCTGGGTCCACAGACTAGGTCAGACCTGTTACAGATTTCTAAATACTGGGCACTTCACTTTCCAATTATTATCCATACATCACCTGCCTTCTCCACTAGGCTGTCAGCTTTCTCACTCCTTATGGTGAAGGATAGCATTCTCCATACAGCAGCCAGAGAAATCCTTCTAAAAGGCAAGTCAGTTCTTACCACTTCTCAGCTCCAAACCTTGAAAGGCTGCCCACCCCTGTCAGAATAAACTTTTAAGTTTATTCTCTCTCCCACCACTCTCCCCACTCTTACTCCACTGTTGCCACACTGGCTTCCCTGCTTTTCCTTTGATATGGCAAACACAGCCCTGCCTCAGACCATTGCAGGTGCTGGTTCCTCTCCTGGGTAAACCACAAGATCCACTCCCTTACTTTCACCGGGTCTCTGTTTAGATGTTACCTTTTCAGTCTGGGCACAGTGACTCACACCTGTAATCCCAGCACTTTGGGAGGCCAAGGCGGGCAGATCACTTGAGCTCAGGAGTCCAAGACCAGCCTGGCCAACATGGTGAAATCCCATCTCTAATAAAAATACAAAAATTAGCCAGGTGTGGTGGTGTGTGCCTGTAGTCCCAGCTACTCGGGGAGGCTGAGGCAGGAGAATCGCTTAAACCCGGGAGGCAGAGGTTGCAGTAAGCAGAGATCGTGCCTCTCCAGCCTGGGCGATGGAGTGAGACTCTGTCACACAATCAATCAATAATCAATCAATCAATAGAAATAAAAAGATAAATGTTTGTTACCTTTTCAGAAAGCCCTTCACTGCTCACCTTATCAAACAAAACCCTCATCTCTCCAGTGTCTCTCCCCCTTACCCTGTTCTATTACTCTTCTTAGCCCCCATGACCACATGACAAACTTTAAACTTCTTGGTTGATTGGTTTATCCTCTGCTCTCCCTCTAGCAGGTGGGCTCCTTGAGAGAAGAGTCTTCATCTATTTTGACTACTGTTATGCCCCGGCCACCCAGAACAGTACCTGGCTTACTAGTGCTTCTTTCCTAAGAACATATTCAAATACTAAATCCTAGAAAGATTCATGGAAGAATCTTGAAATGGTTCTGGTACACTGCTTTTTATTTTTAGTGACATTGCCTCAGGGTGATATATTTATTTTTATTTTCTGGTAATATCTTTCTAGCATTGGTCATCCTACTTTTTCACTAATTCACCTTTTTGAGGAGAAAATAGTCCCCTGGGCTGTAGTGCCAGCACTTATAAAGTATAGCTCACAGAAGCTTTTGAGAAACCTGTAAAATCTGCCCGTGCTTTGCCACGCGCTGAGGAAACATAAAGGTATTTTAATATCAAAGGTCAGAGGCACTGTTTCTTTTATCTTTTCCTCAGAAGAAATTACTTTTAGTTTAAAGAACATACCCAAGTAATTTCCATCTGTAAACAAATGGAGTTTGAAAGTGAATGTATTCACATACCCATATTTGCTTAGTACAAACCTATACAAATTTTTTTTTTCTCTGTTCTTTCTTGTCTTACTTAAGTAATGGATAGTAGCAGGGAGTCAAGGAAGGGGTAGCTTTCTGGGATTCCTGGCACTTGGATATGATTCCAAATAATATAAATCAAGCGTGGCCATGCGCAGTGGCTCACGCCTGTAATCCCAACACTTTGGGAGGCCG